>NC_000001.11:232699273-232850788 GCF_000001405.40 Homo sapiens | reverse complement strand
TATCTATGAAAAATATAGCTAACATCATACTAAGTGGTAAAACACTGAATGCTTTCCTCCTGTGATTATCAAGAAGGCAAGGATGCCTGCTCTTGCCACTTCTATTCAAACATTATACTGGAGGTTCTATCCAGAACAATTAGGCAAGAAAATGAAATAAAAGATATCATGATTCAAAGAAAGAAGTAAAACTATCTTTACTTGATAATGAAATATTTTATATACATACATACATATATACACATATATATACACACATATATACAACTAATTTTGTATATACATACATATATATACACACACATACAACTAATTCTAAGGAAATTTTAAAAACCCAAACTATTTGAACTAATAAGTGAGTTCTGTAAGGATGCAAATATATAATCAATACATAAAAATCTATTGAATTTCTATATGTCAGCAATGAACAATCCAAAAATGAAACTAAGTAAATGATTTTATTTTAAAATGCCCTCAAGGAGAATAAAATGTTTTGGGATAAATTTTTTAAATCAGATGCAAAACTTGTACACTGAAAACTTCAAAGCATCATTGAAATAAATTAAAAATCTAAATAAATGGAAAGACATTTTCATGTTCATGAATTGGAAGATTTGATATAGTTAAGATGGCAATGCTCTCCAAATCCAACTATAAATTCAAAGCAATTCTTAAAAAATCCCAGCTGCATTCTTTGCAGAAATTGACAAGATGATCCTAAACTTCATGTGGAAATAGAAGGAACCAACAATAACTAAAGCACTATTGAAAAAGAACAAAGTTGGATGACCCACATTTTCTGATTCAAACTTACTACAAAGTTATAATAATCAAGGTAGTATGTTAATGACATAAAGATAGATATATGGATAAATGAAATTGAATTGAGATCCTATAGAGAAAAACTTATATTTATGGTCAGTTGATTTTAGACAATGATGCCAAGGAAGTTCAATGGGGGAAAGAATAGTCTTTTCAACAAATAGTACTGGGACAACTGGATAGCCACATGCAAAAGTATAAAGCTGGACTCCTTCCTTACAGCATACACAAAAAATAACTCAAAATGAATCTTAACTCTAAATGTAAGAGCTAAGCCTATAAAACCCTTAGAAGAAAACAGAACTAAATCTTTGTGAATTGGATTGGGTAACATTTTCCTAGATATAACACCAAATGTAGAAGTTATGGGCCGGGCGCAGTGGCTCACGCCTGTAATCCCAGCACTTTGGGAGGCCGAGGCGGGCGGATCACGAGGTCAGGAAATCGAGACCATCCTGGCTAACACGGTGAAACCCCGTCTCTACTAAAAAATACAAAAAATTAACAGGGCGTGGCGGTGCTTGCCTGTAGTCCCAGCTACTCGGGAGGCTGAGGCAGGAGAATGGCGTGAACCCGGGAGGCGGAACTTGCAGTGAGCCGAGATCGAGCCATTGCACTCCAGCCTGGGTGACAGAGTGAGACTCCATCTCAAAAAAAAAAAAAAAAAAAAAAAAAAAAAGGTTAAGAAAAAGCTGGATAAATCATACTTATCAAAACGAAAAACTTTTGTGTTTCAAAGAATACCATCAACAAAGTGAAGAGCCACCCTCGAAATGAGGGAAAATATTTCCTCTGTATATAAGTAATATGTATTTATTTTCTTTGGCTATCTTCACATTTTTCCTCTTTATTTTTTGTTGTTAGCAATTTGAATACGACACATCTAGGAGTGTGTGTGTATGTGTGTGTGTGTTGTATTTATATTGCTTGATTTTCTCTATGTTTCTTGGATTTGGGATTTAGCATCTTTCAATGATTTGGAAAATTATCAGCCATTATCTCTTCAAATATATCTTCTTTCTTCTTCTCTGTTTTTTCCCCCTGGGATTCCAATTACATGAATATTAGACTATTCAATATTATCCTATAGCTCTTGGATGTGGCATTTTTTTATTCTTTTTTTTTTTAGTTGGCATTATTTCTAATGGCCTATCTTAAATATACTAATTATTTCCTTATCTGTGTCAAGTTTATGATTAGCCCATTAAAGACATTCTTCATCTCTGTTACTCTATTTTTACTTCTAAAATTTTTATTTCCTGCTTTCTTATAATTTCTATTGCTCTACTGAAATTCCTCATGTCTTTGTGCATGATGTCTACCTTATTAATTACTATATTGATCATTGTTTTTCAATTCTGTCTGATAGTTTCAATATCACGTTCATTTCTAAGTCTGGTTCTGTTGATCAATTTGCCTCTTGTCGGTAAATTGTTGGCCAGGCTGATATTGAATTCCTGGTCTCAAGCAATCCGCCCACCTCAGCCTCCCAAAGTGCTGGGATTACAGGCATGAGCTACTGGGCCTGGCCACATCCTGTTTCTGCTAGTCTTCAGAGTGAAGGCTGAGACAATCTAGTCAGTCGTTGAGCTGGATTTGAGTTTTGTTGCTATGATCACGGTCAATGAACCACAGGCATTATTTTCTAGTATTATTTTATGTTTAAGAATTATTCTCTACATTCTCATTTCACTGTCATCTTTAAGCTTTACCTGTGTAACTGAACCTCAGAGAGGGTTTTTTTTCTTTTTTTTTTTTTTTTCTTTTTTTGGGATGGAGTCCGGCTCTGTCGCCCAGGCTGGACTGCAGTGGCACGATCTCGGCTCACTGCAAGCTCCACCTCCCGGGTTCACGTCATTCTCATGCCTCAGCCTCCCTAGTAGCTGGGACTACAGGCGCCCGCCACCACGCCTGGCTAATTTTTCTGTATTTTTAGTAGAGACGGGGTTTCACGGTGTTAGCCAGGATGGTCTCGATCTGCTGACCTCGTGATCCGCCCACCTCGTCCTCCCAAAGTGCTGGGATTACAGGCATGAGCCACCGCGCCCGGCCGCAGAGAGGGTTTTGTTCCATGCTCTTGCTCCTTCCCCAGTGGTAGATTTGCTGTTATTTGTTACTTGACATTTGCTAACTATGGAGTAGGGGGATGTTTTCTGTTGTTTTGATTCATCCACAGTCTTAGATAAGCCCTGTGTCATTGGGTGTCAGTGGTGGAAAATTCAAATGGTCCTGGCCTATTTCCTATGGCAGCCAAACTCTATCTTGTATGTTTGACATATCTTATGTGAGTTTCCTGCACCATCCTCCGTGGTAAGACATTTCTAATGATCAGAATCTACAACAGAGTGTTGTTCCCTCTCCTTCAAGTGTCAAGGGCTTTTGTCCCTTGGTTTGCCCCAGCTGAGATGTGTCTTCCTCTCTGTCCTGGGAACAACATTGTCATCTTTCCCCCAATAGCTTAAGGCTTTTGTTCCATAGGAGAGATGGAGAAAACGAGTCTGCGGAAAGGGGCACTTCATGCCTTCCAACAACGGTGGCCACCCCCCTCTTCCAAGTGTGTACCACTGAGGGAAGCCTTCTCGGGTTTCTGGGTCTGCCCTGAATCTTTCTTGTGAGCACATGGTGAGGTTCATGGAGAAGAGTCTGTGAGCCAGTGTGAACTCGCCTTATATCTGAGACTCCCAGGGATTCTATGCTGTTGTGTGAGCTTATACTCAACCTTTAGCAATTTATTAAAATATTTGGCTGAAATCTTCTGAACTATATCAGGGGTAGTGTCTCCTTTCTCTCTCACAGGTAAGCCAGGGTTATGATGGCTCCTTAGAAGTGCTTGTTTTTTTTCTTAGATTTCAGGTATTTGATTGCCCTATGACCTCAGATCTCTGATAAATTCAAGAAAATTATGATTTGGGAGGTTATCTAACTCTTTCTTGTTATTAGAAGAAGAGAGGCTCTCTTTCCAGGTTTTTACATCCTCAGCAGAAGCCAGAGGTCCACGACAAGTTTCTGTAAGCCTCCTCAAATGCTTTTGGAATAAAACATAATACAAAATAAATAAAGAGATAAACAAAATAAAACAACACTGCAACCAGAGGTACAAGTAATATAGGATAATCTTGGTTAAAAAGTAACAAAATAGAGGCCTTTTTCTAAAAACATTAAATAGGAACTGCAAGGTAGTAAAAAGTACAAACTATGAAAAAACTTTTAAAAATTCAGATGAATTTTACCTTTTGATTTAAAAATGTATAAAACTACATATTTCTAGAGTATGCTTTCCTATCAATATGCAAAAGATAACAATTAGAGCCGGGAGCTGCAATATGAGGCTGAAGGGTCTGGCCTCTAGGGCTACAGATTGGGAGACATAAAATAGATTTATCTTCAACACTACTCCTTTTCTCTCCAGTTCTCTGGCCTTTGAAACTCAAGGTTAAATCAAAATTAATTTCCTTTAAATTGCTTAAAGTTGCTTTTTGACTGCTCTGAATGTTAAAATGGGGCAATGGGCTAATATGTAGTGAATGTCTACAAGATGCTAGACTAGGTTTTCCAACTTCAGTGTATAGTGGAATCACATGGGGATCTTGATACAAATACAGAGAACCTTAGCTGACCTCCGTGCAAGTGGGCCTCTGTATTCCTTATTAATTTATAGGTGATTATGACACTTATCAAAGTTGAAGAACCACTGTCCTAGGCACTTAATATACATCCTCCTATCTAATCCATTATTTTACTAAAGTAAATAGTGTTACACTTATTTTACTGATGGGGAAACTAAGGCTCAGAGGGACTAAACACCCAGCCCAAAGTCACAAAGCAAATTAGTGGCAGACCCGGTACTAAAACCCAGATGTGTCCACCTCTAAACTCAGGTGCCTTTAGCTCCACCTCACAAGGATCCACTCTCTCTCTCCACTTTTTCAAGAATGGTAGCAAAGGGCAATCTATCTTCCTTGAGCCTAGATAGCAAACCAACACCGTGTACCAGTTTATAAAGATTATTTTGTTTTGCCTTTTTAAAAATACAAACACAGTGGATTATAAAGGTCTTCTTTCCTAGAGGATCCATTAATTGAAACTCCATTACATTGCTCTCCACAAGTCTTTGAGAAAGCTGAAGAATTTTCAGAAACACGTAATTAAGACTCAGAGGGGAGGCCAAGATTTAAAAAGAACTTCCAAAAGACCAAGTAACTGCCAACAAAGCTTCTCGAGGGAATGCTTTCAGACAAATGAGGCGTGAATATAGGTGGGTTTTTTAAACTACCAGGAAGGAAGAGGGATAAGAGATCCCTGTGAGTACAAACAATGTCAATTAAGGCCAAGAAAAGAAAAGAATATATTACTGTCAGCCAGAGTCAAGGGAAGAAAGATGGCCTTTTACTGGTGTGTCGGGAGAGAAATGAATACCAGAGAGGATCATTCGAAACCTATTAAGAAATGAAGGGAGAATTAGATCAACGGTCCTATTGGGAAGCTCAGACAGCAAAACAGTTTTCTGTCTGCCAGTGGGAAGAGCAACAGAAATTAGAACAACTTACAAACATCTTTATCCAAGAGATTTGGACTGGAAGGAATTGTAAAAATAAGATGAATCTGTGTCATTGAGAAAAAAATTGGGAAGATGAAAACTTGGTGGGATTAATATTTAACCTTAAAATTCAATTCAATTCTGTCCTAGATTAGAAGGCCCATGACTTATTTTCTACCAAAATAATAATAATAATAACTTTGTTTTGAGCTTTGTGTCATATGTTGACATTAATCTGAATTATCAAAACAACCCATTGGGTATTTAACTGATTCCCACACCTAGAGTCCCCAGTAAGTTTCCTAAAAGTGCTCTGAGTTTTCTGTGTTGAGGGATATATAAGTATAACAAAGGCTCTGGCAGGTTCGAAAGGAGAATTTTCACAGTGTATCTGAGGTCACTGCACCTTTCCTCCGTATGACTAACCGCATCTCCCTGGTCTAAATGACTGGTCAGCTGCTGGGAATTTCCCACTTTAAGCAATCCCAGCACTTTGGGAGGCCAAGGCAGATGGATCACTTGAGGTCAGGAGTTCAAGACCAGCCTAGCCAATATGGTGAAACCCAGTCTCTACTAAAGATACAAAAATTAACCAGGTATGGTGGTGCGTGCTTGTAATCCCAGCTACTCGGGAGGCTGAGGCAGGAGAATAGCTTGATCCCAGGAAGCAGAGGCTACAGTGAGCTAAGATTGCGCCATTGCACTCCAGCCTGGGCATCACAGCGAGACTCCATCTCGAAAAACAAAACAAAACAAAACAACAAACAAACAAACAAAACAAAAAAGTTGGACTTCAATATGTCTTCAAAAAGTATCCTGTTTATTGTGTCTCATTTGATTATAGTAATTGGTTATTTATTTTCAGATCAATGCTTTTCAAACTGCATTTACATTAGCCAGTTATAAAGTCAATTTAGTATGTTCCAGCCAGCATTAAAAAAAAATAGAATACAAAAAACATTCATATCATTCCTTACTCAATAGTGAATGTATTGCTTTGTGACATACTTGTGTATGTGGGCATGTGTATGTGTACACTGAGTCACAATATAACTTTTTTTTTATTTAAAAAATTTTTTTGAGACAGGGTCTCTGTTACCCAGGCTAGAGTGCATTAGCGCAATCATAGCTCACTGCAGCCTTGACCTCCTGGACTCAAGTGATCCTCCCACCTCAGCCTCCTGAGTAGCTAGGACCACAGGAACAAGCCACCATTCCCGGCTTTCTTTCTTTTTTTTTTTTTTTAATTTTTTGTAGAGACAGGGTCTTACTATGTTGCCAGGGCTGGTCTCAAACTCCTGGCCTCAAGTGGCACTCCCACCCCAGCCTCTCAAAGTGCTGGGATTACAGATGTGAGAAAGATATGATGCCCCGCCATTTATCTCTTACTGGGACAGGAAGTTTGAAAGCCAGTGCTCTATATCATGCTCCAAGAGGCTTCTCCATGGTTGTGCTATCTCTAGCTTCTCTCTCTTCTAATCTGTCCTGCACCTGACTGTAAAACTAATCTTTTTTACAACTGTACTTTGATTATGTGACTTTTATCCAGTCATTCTTTCCTTCATTCAACAAATATTCGGCAAATATCCATTCTCTATCAGATGCAGGGCTTCCTTGCCCCATCCCCACCTTACACCTGCCTTCCATAAGGAGAGAGACTATAAGTGACTATAAGTATTCTATTGCACAGGGCTAATTCCAAGTTCAATAGTCTGCACTTTATTCCTGCTACCAATTATGTCAGGATTAAATGCTTCTAATCTATCAAGATCCTCTGAGCGAGATCTACTCTCTCCATCCAAGCTTCTTTTTCTTTGTCAGTGTTTGGATCTAGCTAGCCTTTTCTACCAACCTGAATATCTCTCTGTGTGCTATGTTAATTCGGACTCCAGTATCCCTCATCCCATTACTAACGCCGTCCTTTCTTCACTCTTCAGCAAACTCTCTGCAGGGCTCCCGGATCTCAGACCCTCCTCCTCCCTTCACAATGCACGGCCTTGCCATGGGCCACATCTGGTCATCGTCCCATTTCCCTGCCCCCTTCTAGCTCCAGTCATCAATGCAGAATTCCTCGCTGCAAAACACTTTCTAGTCCATTGTTCCTTTATTTAGAATGTCTCCAGGGATTGTGTTCCATCACTTTACTTGAAAGCCTATTTCACAGTCTAGTAGGTCTCACTGTCTAGAGACTTTTTATCTTTCTCTAAAAATTTTCCTTTCTTAATTTTAATCTATTATTTCTAGTTATACCACTGATCCCAGCATTAATAATACTTCAAATTTTGACAAAAATAAAATACTTGCTTTTCCTCACTTAACCTCAGACTGTATTTAAATTAATCTTCCATCGTCACTTAATCTTACTGCCCATTATTGAATTCTAGCAGTTAATCATCATATGTATTGCTGAAAACAGGACAATTCAAACTAAATGCAGATGCAGCCCAATAGGAGAACCATAATCTTGCTCTTGCTGGAAAAACCCAGGAATGAAAATGAACTGTACAATCTTTAGTGACCCGGCCCTGTTTTATTTCCTTCTGACTTTATCATAAAAGGAAATAAAAACATTTAGGGAAAACATTTAAAAATGTGCAGGTATGGCATGTTTTCTTTTGTATGCCATCCTCCATCTGTTTCCTTTGTTAATTTGGTCACATTTATTGAGTTTCTACTCATCCCAGGCCCTTTATTAGGAGCTGAGGATCAAAGGTAAGATCAGCGCCAGGCAAGGTGGCTCATGCCTGTAATCCCAACACTTTGGGAGACACTGCAGGAGGATTCCTTGAGGTCCAGAGTTCCAGACCAGCCTGGGTGACATATCAAGACCCTGCTTCTACAAAAGTAAAAAACAAAAATTAGCTGGGCATGGTGATGTATCCCTGAAGTCTTAGCTACTTGCGAGGCTGAAGTGGGAGGATTGCTTGATCCCAGGAATTCAAGGTTAGAGTGAGCTGTGATCACACCACTGCTTTCCAGCCAGGGCGACAGAGCAAGACCCTGTCTCCAAAAAAAAAAAAAAAAAAAAAAAAAAACTGGTGAGTAAGACCATCAAGCTGCTCACTGTCCAGCAGAGAAATAAACTTGTCAGCAGATAATTACAGCACAGGATCATATGACTTTAAATGGACTAGAAGGAATGGCTTGCTATGGTGGGAAACTTCAGCTTTGGTTCTGACAGGGATAAGCAGAAATTTTTCAGATAGAAAGAGAAGGAAGACTATTTTAAACAAAGTAGCAACATGTGCAAATGTAGAGAGGCTTGAAGGATGATGGGTGTCCAGAGAATAGTGAAAAGACAGGGAGGCTGGAACCTATGGTACATAACTAGTAATGATCAGAAACGACCTTGAATATCTGTGAAGGATTTAATACATGCTAAAGAGTTTACACTCATCCTGAAACCAACTGCACATCCGTGGGGGTTTTTAACAGTGGGGCATGTCTGAATCTCACGTTGGAGGTGGGGCCTGGTGGGAGGTGATTGGATCATGGGGGTTGTTCTTGGTTGTTCTTCATGAATGGTTTAACACCATCCCCTCGGTGCCATTCTTGTGATAGTGAGTGTGACTTATCAAAAGATCTGGTTGTCTAAAAGTGTGTAGCACTTCCCCCCGCCCCTTTGCTCCTGCTCCTCCCATGTAAGCAATGCCTACTCCCGCTTCACCTTCCGCCAGAAATGTAAGTTTCCTGAGGCTCCCCAGAAGCTGAGCAGATGCCAGCATCATGCTTCCTGTACAGCCTGTAGAACCTTGAGCCAATTAGACCTCTTTTCTTTATAAATTACCCAGTCTCAGTTATTTTCTTATAGCAATGTGAGAACGGACTAATACAAAATGAAAATGGTAATATGTTCTACAACCTTGAGTTTTATCCCAGAAATGCAAGGTTTTTAATGTTATAAAGTTACTCAATGTAATTATAAAAGCAATTAATATAATAGTATGGTAAATAATAACAGAATCCCAGAATAAGAGGAAAACATGTGATTATCTCAATAGATACAGTAAACATATTGTAAAAATTTAACACCCAGGGGAAAAATCCTTAGGAAACTATAGAAGGGAACTTCCTAAACTTAACAAAGGACATCTATGAAAAACCTACAACTAATTTCATTTCTAACAGCAAATGTCTGCTGTTCATGACTAACAACCAATAGCAAGGAACAAGGCATAATCAAGGACAAGGCAATGATGTCCTCTCTCATCACTACTATTCAAATATTTCTGAACTAAACTGCAAAAGCACTATTCATAAAAGAAGACAAAAGTTTGATAAACACAACCTTATCAAAACTTTTTAAACTTCTTACAGAGAAAGAGCTAGAAATGATAAGTTTAATGGTAAAAGATGCCACTGAGAAAATGAAAGACAAGCCAGAGTGGGGAAATTATTAACACATTTATCTGCCAAAGGGCCCATATATAGAATACATAAAGAATTCCTATCACACAATAAGTAAAAATACAACCCATAAAAATAGGGGCATAGGACTTGAGCAGACTTCATACTCCACAAAAGAAGATAAACACAGAGACAATAAACTCATGAAAATATAATTAACATCATTAAGCCTCAGGGAAATGCAAATCAAAACCTGCCAATGAGCTACCACAAAACACCAAACACTGTAAGAATGGAGCAACTGGAACTCTAATGCATTGCAAATGAGACTCTAAAATGGTACAATCAATTTGGAAAATATTTTGACAATGTCTTATAAACTTAAACATAGACTCCCCTTTTGACCCATTGGGTCTGACTTAACAGAAAAGAAAAAATATGTCCACAACATGACTTCTACAACAAAGTTCAAAGAAGATATATTTATAATACTGAAAAGTTGGAAGCAGCCCAAATGTACATAAACAGGAGACTGGATAAACGATGGTATGTCTGTACAGTGGAATGAAGATTATGGAATAAGAGGTGTAGTTTGAAAAAGAAAATTTTTTTTTTTTTTGAGATGGAGTCTTACTCTGTCACCCAGGATGGAGTGCAATGGCAGGATCTTGGCTCACTGCAACCTCCACCTCCTGGGTTCAAGCGATTCTCTTGCCTCAGCCTCCCAAGTAGCTAGGATTACAGGCACACACCACCATGCCCAGCTAATTTTTTTTTTTTTTGTATTTTTAGTAGATATGGGGTTTCACCATGTTGGACAGGCTGTCCTGGAACTCCTGATTGCCAAGACCAGCTTGGTCATGGAGACCCTAACCCAGCAGCACTAGAGGAATTAAACACACACAGAGAGAAATATAGAGTGCAGAGTGGGATTCAGGGGGCTGACAGCCTTCAGAGCTGAGAGCCATGAGCAGAGTTTTACCCACATATATACTGACAGCAAACCAGTGATAAGCATTGTTTCTATAGATTACAGATTAACTAAAATGGGAAACAAAGGGATGGCCTCTGGCTAGTTATCTGCAGCAGGAGCATGTCCTTAAGGCACAGATCGCTCATGTTATTGTTTGTGGTTCAGGAACACCTTAAGTGGTTTTCCACCCAGGGTGGGCCAGGTGTTCCTTGATCTCATTCCAGTAAACCAACAACAATCTTCAGCGTGGGCATCATAGCCATCATGAGCATGTCACAGTGCTGCAGAAATTTTGTTTATGGCCAGTTTTGGGGCCTGTTTATGGCCAGATTTGGAGGGCCTGTTCTCAGCACCTGATCTCTGGTGATCTGCTTGCCTTGGCCTCCAAAGTGCTGGGATTACAGGCATGAGCCACTGCACCCAGCCCCCCAATTTTTTTTTTGCAAAATCATATATCTATTTTCAAACAAACTTTGCACAGGATTCCAATATTAGAACACATCGGAAATGGAGCCAATACAGATGACCATGAGCCCTAATCTCTTTGTCCTTTCTCACGGCCTTTTCTGCATCACACACAGCCCTCCTCCACAGTAAATCCTGAGCCACTTTCTTGACATTCATGGGTTTTTCAAAGACAGTATGAAGTGTTCCATATTAGAACCTGTCATTTTCCTTGGCCAAATGACTCAAAGCCAGACCCTACTGAGAGTGGTTTATAACCTTTCATTTGAATGCAAAGGGCATAGCATCATTATTTATTCATTTAGCTGGAAGAGAGCTAAATATTTCCAACAGATACCTGCAGCCTGAAAGCACTTGTTAAAATATACAAAACAAAATAAATGCAGAGATGACGAAATATTAAAACGATCACCTTTTGATGTCACCCCATCAGACAAAGTCAGAAGAAGAACCTGAATCATATGCCATATTCTAAAACTCATTTCCACATACTCATTTTTGTGTGTGTTAGATTTGTTTCTACAATGTCGCATTTCATGACCCTTAGAGATATTTTCTGCCTAGACTCTACATCCTTTTGTTTTTTCATGCTAAATTCTATATTTCTTTTAATTAAAAATTATTAATAAGAAAAAAGCAGAACTATGACTGATACTTATGCATATAGCTGTGATATTTAAATAATCTAAGCCTATATGAAAATGCCTTAATAATCAACAACAGCAAACACAGAGGGTCAGGGATCTGGTAATCCAAACACATTTTTCTTCTTTTGTTCTACAAAATAAAAAATAAATATTTTTCACATCTGTATATCTTCAATGGGAAAATCTAAATATCTAGAAAACTAACTTAATTGTTAATCTAGGCTAATTTCAAGATTTGGCAGGAAGCTAAGTTTGTAAAAATGTACCCAGTTTTAATATGTTATGAGGCTAAGAAATCAATTCCAAATTCTTCCTTTTTTTCCTCCAAATTGAGATTGCAAGATGAGCTCAACCACAATTGCATACAGACCTGTATCATTTTATACTAGAATGCACTTTGTTGATTCTACTAGTCTTTTTTTTTTTTTTTTTTTTTTACTTTTTAAAATTTAGATTAAGGGAGTACATGTGCAGGCTTGTTACATGGGTATATTATGTGATGCTGAGGTTTGGGTTTCTAGTGTCCAAGTGAACACAGTACCTAATAGGTAGGATTCAACCCTTGCCCCCACCTCCTTCCACTCTTTTGGAATCCTCAGTGTTTATTGTTCCCATCTTTGTGTCTGTGTGTACCCGATGTTCAGCTCCCACTTATAAGTGAGAACGTGTTGGAGTATTTGGTTTTCCGTTTTCTCTGTAATTCACCTAGGATTATGGCCTCCAGCTGCATCCATGTTGCTGCAAATAATATGATTTCATTCTTTGTTATGGCTGCATTGTATTCCATATTGCATATGTACCACATTTTCTTTATTCAATACACCATTGATGGGCATCTAGGTTGAGTCCATTTCTTTGCATTGTGAGTAGTGCTGCAGTGAACATACAAGTGGAAGTATCTTTTTTTTTTTTTGTGAGACAGAGTCTCACTCTGTTGCCCAGGCTGGAGTGCAGTGGCGCTATCTTGGCTCACTGCAACCTTCACCTCCCGGGTTCAAGCAATTCTTCTGCCTCAGCCTCTCGAGTAGCTGGGGCTACAGGCATGTGCCACTGCGCCCAGCTAATTTTTGTATTTTTTAATAGAAACAGGGTTTCACCATCTTGGCCAGGCTGGTCTCGAACTCCTGACCTCATGATCCGCCTGCCTCGGCCTCCCAAAGTGCTGGGATTACAGGCATAAGCCACCTAGCCCGGCCAACAAGTGCAGTTATCATTTTGATAGAACAATTTATTTTCCTTTGGGGCTATACCTAGTAACGTTGAATTGCTGGGTGGAATGGTAATTCTGTGTTTAGTTCTTTAAGAAATCTCCAAGCTCTTTTCCACAGGGCACTGAACTAATTTTCATTCCCACCAACAGTGTATAAGCAGTCCCTTTTCTCTGCAACCGTGCAACATGTTATTTTTTTACTTTTTAATAATAGCCATTCTAACTGATGTGAGATGGTATCTCATTGCTGTTCCCCTTTATTCATCAAATGTTTTGGTCAAAATTGGGGATAACATATATACATACCTCAGGCAGCAGCTGATACTTGTAACCCTCGCTGTGTTTCTAGTAGAACTCTAACATACTCCTTACGGAATTGTCTCCTGACCTGAGAGTGTTTATCTGGACATAACTTCCTTGAGCTGTATTAAGAACCACACCTTTCAACTCTGAATGCCTTATCAGTCTAAAGTTACAAAATAACCTAGCATATTGATTTGGATGCTGTTCTACTGCTATTATATGACTCATCTACAGAGGATCCATGGAGCAAAAGACAAAAAAGACAGCTAGCTGGTAAAAGAGGATACAACAATGACTCATAAACATACGATAAAATGTTCAACATCACTAGTACAAAGGAAATGCATAGAAAAAAATTAGATATTTTCACTTGCTTTATTAGAGATTTTAAAAAATCGTAATTATTGATGCTTCCAAGTTTTTGTGAGATGGATACGCTTATACACTGCTGGGGGGTGAGGAGCATACATTTATATAATCTTTCTAGACAGCAATTGGAATCTATCTGGCAATATATCAAAATCTCTTTAAAAATGTTTATTTCCTTGGTATCTGTTTAACTTAGTAATTCTATTTGGGAGCATTTGTCCTGAGAAAATTATCCAAAATATAGTAAGAGATTTATGAATCAACAGGTTCATCATAATATATATCTTATAATAGCAAAGATTGGAAACAAATTAAATTCTCAAAACTCTCCTCCTTTGGAAGGCAACCACGACCATCTTTGTTTATTCTCTCATCTTCTGTGTTCTCTCAGTGGGCACTCTGCTAGACTCATTTGTGCTGACTGATATGTTGTTCTATAGAAATTATTTGGTTGTTTCTTCTCTGTGTCTCCTCACTATCCTTTCTACTAAACAGACCATATGCAATTTGAAGGCAGGATCTTTGGGTTTTTCCCCCATAAGATCTAGTATAGGGTAATCAGAAGAATCTGGAATCTGTTAGGAACAACATGACCCTGATCATTTTCCATTTAAATTCTTCATTGCAGTGGGCCCAACAGGGGCAGCATAGCCCCATAGCAAGAGAGCTTTGCCCTTTTGGTGGGGTGGGAGGGTGAGTACATTTCATGACCATGGTATGAATGGTTTGAACCATGAGCCACAAGTTAACAGTACCTTGGCTTAAACTGTATTCCATGTTTAAGAGGTGCCACTCCTCTGTCCTTGTCTTGGAGTGCAATAATGTACCACAGCCCAAACCTTTCCCATACAACTGAGAGTATGCCCAGTTTACAGACATGAGTGTCTACAGTCCACCAAAGAGAGTGAATTGCCCTGGTGTCACTGGCTTATTTTTATGTTTGTCTTCTCACTTCTCTGCACTGTGAGCTCCTTGAAGGCAGAAGCTACAACTTTGTAGCTCCAGGATGTGGAACAGTGTGGCTTATAGCAGGAGCTGAAAATTCATTTAAGTCAAGGAGGAGAGCAGAGCATCCAGGGTCAGCAGGTGAGGCCATGGGATACATCCAAGTGAGACAGGAGAAGGGAAAGAATCATTTCTAAAGGAAGTTATTCTTAGGCTGATGGGAAAATATGCCTTTAGAGAAAGTACAATCACAAAAGTAGTCTAATAGGTGTTATTATGGAGGCCATAAAAATAAAGTATTTGAAATAAAACAGATTAAGGAAGAGAAGAATGCTCATTAAGGGTCAGAAGGGATAGAAGAGAAGACTCAAAAATGTCAAGCCAGCTGGGTGTGGTGGCTCACACTTGTAATCTCAGAGCTTTCACAGATGGGAGGATTGCTTGAGCCCAGGAGTTTGAGACCAGCTTGGGCAACACAGTGAGACCTCATCTCAAAAATCTTAGCCAGGCATGGTGGCATAGTCCCAGCTACTAGGGAGGCTGAGACAGGAGGATCTTTTGAGCCTGGGAGGTCAAAGCTGCAGTGAGCTATGATTGTGCCACTGCACTCCAGCCTGGAAAGCTAAAGTTAACTGAAAACATACAAAAATTAAACAAACAAACAAAAGAACAACAACAACGACAAAAAAAAAAAAAACCTCTATCTCAGTAAAGCAAAAGAAACATGAACAACATTTTTAAACACTTCGTATTTTAGGCAACACTAGAATGTGTAGAAAGTCCTGGAATTTTGTCAAGAATGTGACAGACGGAGATTGGGACAATGTCAACGAACAGCTGTCACTGATGAACTACTACTGTATTTCTATATTCCTGAACTGTATCCATCCTTACAATCACTGATCCACGGAATAAAACCCGGTGGTAAAGAATGTCACAGAAGGTAGAGCAGGGCTCTTTTATGCTCAAGGCTTGGGTCTAAAACTGACAGAAAGGAGCCTCCAGTTCCCTGCACTCCCAAAGAATTGCAAACAGTGGAGCTGGTGTCATCTACAGGAGGGCTCTCTGAGAGATATTCCAATCAATTCTGCTCCCCTCACTGAACCTCCATTCTACCATGCTCCTCCACAATCAACATGAGCAGAAAACTCAGAGTGGGATGAGGAGGAGGATGATGGGAGAGAGAGGAGAAACATCCATGGCTTCGTGAAGACAGCTGGGCTTTCTCTCTCTCCTCACCATGGAATAGTTCCTCCAGCTCCTAGGTCAAACCAAATGGGGACATGCTGTAGGACATGCAGTGTCAAACCTTCATAACAGACTGAGAAGGAGACTCTAAAAGAAAATGATATTTACTTGGGAATGGCTTTGCAATGGAAATACACGTGCCAGAGTAAACTATGCAGATCATCAGGAAGGTTGAGGCAAGGGACAGTTTTTGAAGGCAAAATGAAAAGAATTACATAAGTTGTTTTGAATCAATTATCCTTGGCTGTAAGGATCAATAACAAGGGTGGTGTCAGTCCAAGGTTGGACAAGCAGTTGCTGGACAGATGTCCTTGCAGAAGTATTTTCTCTGTAAGGTTTTGGTGGCCTTTGTGCAAGGTTGTGCTTTTTTGCAGAGTTTGTTTGTGATAGTTCTTATTATCAGGCATACAAGCTTGAGAAATCCCCCATTATGGCCTTTCCCAGTTCCAGTTGTCACAAGTGACTCTATTTTGATTCTGACAACTTTCACATCAGCCTGTGGGCCAAATCCAGCCCACCATCTATTTTTGTAAATAAAGTTTTATTGGAATCACTTCTCGGCCTTTTGGCTAAGACCAAGTGCAGAGTTTTATTGGAACACAGCCATGCCCATTCATTTTCATATTGTCTGTGGCTGCTGTCTCACTACAACTTCAAAGCTGAATAGTCAAAACAGAGACCATATGGCTCACAAAGCTGAAAATGTTTACTAACCGTTCCTTCACAAAAAACGTTTTCTGACCTCTATTCTAGAAAAGTTACCTACAGAGACTACTGGTGCCAGAAAAAGGGAGAGATTGGCTTCCATTCTGGGTTGGAGCAGTAAGTTGGTGATAAGATCAAAATGTTCAGCTGGACCATTTATAAAATGGGGCTGAAAGGTCATTAAGAAGCATGAAAGCAGAATTTGGCAAAGCACAGATGAATACAGGGATTGGAAGAAATAAAATCATTTGAGATTTAAAGCCCACCCACCCATCTCTTCCCTCCAGGAATTTAGACTGTGAACTCTTTGGATGCATTAGATTTGGTTTTATTGAATAATTTATTATACATTTTTATTTATTTCCTTTACTAATTTTTTTAGGAGTACTCTTATTGGGTTGAGCAAAACTTGCTTTTATTTATAAACTAGAAATATTCTGTCTCTGTATGCCTAACTTTATCAATTTTGAGTTTGCAGATGCCCAATATCTGGGACCTAGGAAACAAAATGGGCTGAGCAAAATTCTAAGCTTCAATTTTAAAAGCTAAGATTTGCTTAAAAAGAATTTCTGCAATGCTTCAAAACAATAATAGTGTGTCCTTCGTCACCAAATGCTGTACAGAATGTTAAATTTTACCTGGCTTCTGCCAAGCGTTCTTAGAACAAGCATTTATTATAGATTAGTTTTATTTTACATTAATGGGTGTCTAGGAGAGGGAGGTAATAGCACTTGAGGCAATTTTGTTTTACTATGAAAATTATTTAAGCCTTTAGAAGACGAAATTCAGGGAAATGTACTGTCTTCTCAAAAAATATGTGTTTATAACCCCAAATACAGGAAAAGCTTTTTGAGGAAAGTCATTTTGCTTTGCAAAACAGATTTTCAAACTATTAAGCAAGATAAAAGGTCACATTGACCGTTTGTTTTAGATAATTCATTCATTCCTGGCCAGGATTTTATAAGATTAAAAGAGTGTGCTTCTGAAACAGAAAAAAAAGGACCACAGCATTTATAAACTAGGAGGTCCCTAAATGCTGGAGATTATTCTGATTCCAGAGGGAGCATTAAGGCAGCAATGTAAACATGTTGCTGGTAAGTGAAATTACATTTCAAGCTCTACGCCTTGCCACTCCAAACCTAAATAAATGAATAAAAATTTTCTTCTAACTTGAGATATTTTTCATAGTTACTTCCTAATGTTATTTTAAAATAGCATCAAAAGCTGAAATTCAGTAAATAATATTCTGATCATGCTGTTTACTCAGCAAAAGAGAAGAATTGCCAGAAATCAAGTGCCATCCACATGTCAACTAAGGTCCCTCTGTCCCTTGGAGACCTAGCTAAAAATGACTGCAGTCGTCTATTCCGTGGCCTTTGAGAGGCTTCCTTCACCACCCACCATGGTCAACCTTACCTCTCACCCCCATTTTGCAAACTCCTCTGACTTTACTTCCTCTTGCTTCTCTCTGTTGGTCTTCCATATCTGCATGTGTTTCTTAGTTTGGTTCGACTCAGTCCAGATATACAGCCTAGCCCCACCACAGTCTGAAAAAAAGCACCACTCGCCTTGTACATGAGCTCAACAACTTTACTAAAAATCTGGAGAGCAGCGAGGAGTACCAGGACAGAACACGTGATTTTCCACTATCTCTTGGCTTCTACCCTCCACTCTTTATGTTTCTTTCTTGTCCCTCCCACCTCCACATGCCACAAAGCAAACTGCAAAGTCATCCTCCTGTCACCTACGAAAGTTCTATCTTACCACCTTTGAATTACAGTTTCACAAACAACTACAGTTTTCTCCAAAAGTATTCTGATAATTGAAATGTTCTGTCTTATTAAAATAGCATGAAGCATGTTCTTGTAAGTTTTGGAGACTGAAAAACAGAATCAGTTATCTGTCTTCAGCAGCAAAATGTCAAATAAATTAAATTGATAAACATCATTGACTTTTACAAAGCCCACCTGTACAATGCTGTGTAATGTCTGGAACTCCAGTGATATTCTTTCCTTTAAAAGTTGGAGCCTATACTTACCTGGGAGGGGAGATACCATGATCCATGATCACAAAGATGGTTTTCCCAGGGCAAGGCTCATCCATTGCACTCCAAATGTGCTGACCACTGCAATTTCCTCAAATGTAGGAAACTCAATTGCATAATGTGTGGCAGTGGGAGACTGCGTTCATGCTTTCCCTTGTTTAAAAAAAAAAAAAAAAGTTGGAGCGTAATTCTCTCCATCCTCCCAAAGTGGGCTGGACTTAATAACTTGCTTCAAATGAATACATTGTTTTGGAAGTGATTCCATGTGACATCCAAGGCTATGTCATAAAAAGGACAGCTTTTCTCTGGCTCTTTCTCTGGGGTAGGCTAGTTGCCATGTTGTGAGAACACCCAAGCAGCCCAATGGAGAAGCCCCAGGATAGACAGCGTAGCATGGAGAAGAACCAACTTGCCAGCTATGGGAATGGACCACCTTGAGTCCTCCAGTTGCAGCCAGGTCTTCAGTTGATTTCAGCCATGGCTGATATCTTGACTGCAAACCACCCAACTAAGCTGTTCCTAAATTCTTGACCCACAGAAACTGTGAGAATAATAAATGCTTGTTGTTGTTTTAAGCCACTAAATTCAGGGGTAGTTTACAGAACAATATATAACTAAAACATGTAGATACTAATACAACTTTCTTGGAAAAACAATTAGTTTTTATAAATGAATGAATGTGTGAACATTCAAATCAGAGCATTACCAGAGAAAGAGAATTAGTTAACTAGGGGATCATTTCTTCTAGTGATGCTTTCCTGACTTCCCCAGAGCTGTGCTTCAAAACTTTCACCTGTGGATGGATCATCCCGGGACTCAACTGTAAATGAAGATTCTGATTCAACAGGTCTGAGAATCTGCATTTTTAGCAAGACTCCAGGTAATGTCAACACTACTGGCTGATGGCTTTTTGTCATGGCACTTACCATGGACTCCATTCATCCTAACACCTGGTGTTCAAGGTTATAGGTGACTTTGTGTCAGAGGCACTGGTGGTACTGAACTTTCCCCAAGTCCTGTGCCTCTTGAAAACAGGGGAGATTACAAAACTAGCCCTTCCCAACACACACCTTCAGTGTTCCAAAACATGACTTCTTGCAAGGAATTCCCCTTCCCCATAAGATTTAGATAAAACCCACCGATGACCTCCTTGTTTACCTATGACAAGGTCAGACACGGACCTTCCAATTCCCATTCTGTGTCTCATGAATGATTAGCCATTGGTCCCCACTGGCCAGTGTGGACAAAATGCCATCAATGTGACTTGACCAAACTCTGCTCAGGCTCCTCACCTTCCCCCAGGCCCCTGGACTTTGGTCCTTTCTTGCATGTAGGAATGCAGAACAGCCTCTCTATAAGACCTGCTCCAGAGAATGCAATGGCCACAAACAGAGACTGAGCCACTGTTTGATCATGCCACTGCCTCATCCCACTCCCCCACATGCTTCTTGGTAGGCTTCTCTACTCCTTATGAAAGAAAGACCTTTTTCTGCTGACCTCAGAGATGCACACTGATCCCATGGTTATGGCACTCTCTGCATTGCTATAGTCTCCTTCCCTAATGCTGCAGTTTCCTTTCCTAGAGCAAGAGTCTCCCCACCCTTGTTGCAATAATCCTTTTGCATATCATCTCTCCTTACCTGAGGTCAATTTATTTTCTCTTTGCTTTTCTTTTTTTTGAGACGGAGTCTTGCTCTGTCGCCCAGGCTGGAGTGCAGTGGTGCAATCTCGGCTCACTGCAACCTCTACCACCCAGGTTCAAGCAATTCTCCTGCCTCAGTCTCCTAAGTAGCTGGAATTGCAGGTGTGTACCACCAGGCCCGGCTAATTTTTGTATTTTTAGTAGAGACCTGGTCACCATGTTGACCAGGCTGGCCTCGAACTCCTGACCTCAGGTGATCCACCTGCCTCGGCTTCCCAAAGTGCTGGGATAACAGGCTTGAGCCATCTTGCCCTGCCCCATTATGCTTTGAGGGATTTACTTCTTTGGGTTTGAGATGTAGATCCCTTGAAAATCTAGAATCTCTTGTCTGAATCTACAGTAAGAACTGCTTTTCCCACATGATTATAATCACCTTCTTAATTATCTGTGTCTCACAGTAGATTGTAAACGGGGACAACAGGGACTGTGTCTGACTTATTTCTCATGTTCCCCTAGACTTTTACAAAGCATTCATGTGGTTAAGTGCTGTATATGTGCTGAACAAGTGAATGATTATTAGAAATATTGATGGTAGGTGCCATGTTTTGAGATGCTGGAATATTTTAAAATGTGCAATTTACCTACATTGTTTAGGAAATGAATATAGATAAATTTAGCCTAGTCATTTGACCATATATCTCTCCAAATTGTCCTTTCAGTAAGAAGTCTCATATTCAAAATGGGGTATTTGGATAATCAGCATCTAAGCTTTGTTTCCATTGTGAATGAGTCTCCACTAAGCATGGCCTATGTCTCTGAAATAAAAGTCCTTCAAACCACAGGATCTCAGCACTAGAAAAATATTAAGAGAAAAATTTGAAAGAAATTTCCTAAACACAGTGCTAGGAACAGTCAATCACAGGAGAAATCTTTTCCCACTGAGCAGTATATTGCTATCAGAACCTGGGAAATAATAAGCAAAGTACATTTAAATGGAAAAAATTACTCCTTTCAATAACTCTAGCTTTCGAAGTATGTATAGAAAGAAATTCAGAGCTAATGGATCAACTTTAGTGAGCCTAAGCAAAAACCAATTTGGAAAACCCACACTTCAATTAACCTGAAATGAAAACTGGGGTGACAGAAAAAAAGATACAGCTAATAGAAGACATTAAATTAGTGCTTTTCTTGACCCAAGAGACAAAAGAAGAAATAAATTTATCATGATTTACCTTTCACATAGAGGAAAAAAATCTGAATACTTTCCAAAATATTAATTTGTTTCCAAAGTGCTTAATGATTAGGTATATTCCTTTTTTTTTTTTTTTTTTGCAGCTATTGTAAAAGGGGTTGAGTTACTGATTTTTGTGGGCTTTTTTTGTTGTTTTGTTGTTGTTGTTGTTTTGAGATGGAGCCTCGCTCTGTTACCCAGGCTGGAGTGCAGTGGCACGATCTCAGCTCACTGCAACCTCTGCCTCCCGGGTTCAAGTGATTCTCCTGCCTCAGCCTCCCAAGTAGCTGCGATTACAGGCACGCCATCACAGCCCCGCTAATTTTTGTATTTTTAGTAGAGACAGGGTTTCACCGTGTTGGCCAGACTGGTCTCAAACTCCTGACCTCAGGTGATCTGCTCACCTCAGCCTCCCAAAGTGCTGAGATTACAGGCATGAGAGACAATGCCCGGCCTGAGTTGTTGATTTCATTCTCAGCTTGGTCGCTGTTGGTGTATAGAAGAGCTACTGATTTGTGTACATTGATTTTGTATCCAGAAACTTTGCAGAATTATTTTATCAGTTCCAGGAGCTTTCTGAAGGAGCCTTTAGGGTTTTCTAGCTAAACAATCATATCATCGGCAAACAGCAACAGTTTGACTTCCTCTTTACCAATTTGGATGCCCTTTTTTTCTTTCTCTTGTCTGATTGCTCTGGCTAGGACTTCTAGTACTATGTTGAAGAGGAGTGGTGACAGTGGGCATCTTTAAGGAAAACTACAAAACACTGCTGAAAGAAATCATAGACAACACAAACAAATGGAAACACACCCCAAGCTCATGCTCGTGGATAGGTAGAATCAATATTGTGAAACGGACCATACTGCCAAAAGCAATCTACAATTCAATGCAATTCCCCTCCAAATATCACTATCATTCTTCACAGAATTAGAAAAAAAAAATCCTAAAATTCATATGGAACCAAAAAAGAGCCCGCACAGCCAAAGCAAGATTAAGCAAAAAGAACAAATCTGGAGACATCACATTACCTGATTTCAAAGTATACTATAAGGCCATAGTCACCAAAACAGTATCATACTGGCATAAAAATAGGCACATAGACCAATGGAACAGAATAGAGAACCAAGAAATAAACCCTAATACTTACAGCCAACTGATCTTCAACAAAGTAAACAAAAACGTAAAGTAGGGGAAAGACACCCTATTCAACAAATGATGCTGGGAAAAATGGCAAGTCACATGTGGAAGAATGAAACTGGATCCACATCTCTTAGGTTATACAAAAATCAACTCAAGATGGATCAGGAATTTAAATCTAAGACCTGAAACTATAAAACTTCTAGAGACAACATAGGAAAAACTCTTCTAGACATTGGCTTAGGCAAGGATTTCATGACCAAGAACCCATTTAAGCAAATGCAGTAAAAACAAAGATAAATAGTTTAGACTTAATTAAACCAAAGAGCATTTGCACAGCAAAAGGAACAGTCAGCAGAGTAAACAGACAACCCACAGAGTGGGAGAAAATCTTCACAATCCATACACCTGACAAAGGACTAATACCCAGAATCTACAATGAACTCAAACAAATTAGCAAGAAAAAACCAAACAGTCCCATCAAAAAGTGGGCTAAGGACATGAATAGACATTTCTCAGAAGAGGATATACAAATGGCCAACAAACATATGAAAAAATGCTCGACATCACTAATAATCAGGGAAATGCAAATCAAAACCACGATGCGATACCACCTTACTCCTGGAAGAATGGCCATAACCAAAAAATCAAAAAATAGGCCTGGCATGGTGGCCCACACCTGTAATCCCAGCACTTTGGGAAGCCGAGGTGGGTGGATCACCTGAGGTCAGGAATTTGAGACTAGCCTGACCAATATGGTGAAACTCTTTCCTGTCTCTACTAAAAAATACAAAAATTAGGCAGGCATGGTGGTGCACGCCTGTAATTCCAGCTACTCAGGAGACTGAGGAAGGAGAATTGCTTGAACCTGGGACGCGGAGGTTGCAGTGAGCCGAGATTGTGCCACTGCACTCCAGCCTGGGCAACAGAGCAAGACTCTGTCTCAAAAACAAAACAAAACAAAAAAATAAATAAATAAATAATAGATGTTGGCATGGATGCAGTGAACAGGGAACACTTCTACACTGTTGGTGGGAATGTAAACTAGTACAATCACTATGGAAAACAGTGTGGAGATTCCTTAAAGAACTAAAAGTAGATCTACCATTTGATCCAGCAATCTCACTGCTGGGTATCTACCAAGAGGAAAAGAAGTCACTATATGAAAAAGATACTTGTGCATGCATGTTTATAGCAGCACAATTTGCAATTGCAAAACCGTGGAACCAACTAAAATGCCCATCCCATCAATCAATGAATGGATAAAGAAACTGTGAGATATATATAGATACACATACACACACACATACACACACACACACGATGGAATACTACTCAGCCATAAAAAGGAATGAGTTAATGGCATTCACAGTGACCTGGATGAGTTTGGAGGCTATTATTCTAAGTGAAGTAACTCAAGAATGGAAAAACAAACATCATATGTTCTCACTCATGTGTGTAGGCTAAGCTATGAGGATGCAAAGGCATAAGAAAGACACAATGGATTTTGGAGACTCAGGGGGAAAGGGTTGGAAGGAGGTGAGGGATAAAAGATCACAAATTGGGTGCAGTGTATACTGCTTGGGTGATAGGTGTGCCAAAATCTCACAAATCACCACCGTAGAACTTATTCATGTAACCAAGCACCACCTGTTGTCCAATAACCTGTGGAAATAATTTTTTTTAGAAAGAAAGGGTGCTTAATGAGACTTTTGGTCTACTTACTGATCTAAAGAAAACATATGGTGGTAAATGGTTTGAAAACACAGCTCAAATTATTTTCTCCCTGCATCTATGCCCTTTTGCAGTGTGAGTTTGTAGCTCCTGGCAACAGAGGTGTAGTTTTTTGTTTTGTGTGCGTGTGTTTTTCCCCACCCATTGTATCTCAACTAGCCTTGTGACTTACTTTGACAAGCAGAATGAAGCGCATGGGATATTGTGTCAGTTCCAAGTCTAGTATCAAGAGGCTTTGCACATTCTGTTCATTCTCCTGGAACCATGCCACTACCATTAAACCAGCTTGGACTTTTTCTGATGATGCTGGGAGCCATGTGGAAGAAAACCAAGGTGCCCCAGCTTGCTCACAGCCAGTTCTGGAAGCAAAAGTATCTGGCCTGCCTGCAGCAAGCCGAAGACTCACTAGTGAGCCCAGGCAACACAGACCAAGTCAGAACCACTTGGCTGACTTGAGTAATGAATCATTGCCTTAAGTTTTTGGGTGTTTTTCCAGTTCACTCATAAAAAAGATTCACTCATTAATTGTCAAAGAAATTAAAACTAAACCAGCAAAGTCGGACCATTTATTGTCTAATAGATGGATGAAAATAAACAAGGATGTTCATTCACAGAGTTTGTAATTATATGGAAAGCTGGAAGGTGCAACTTTTTTAGAAGACAATTTGGCAATATGTATTAAATTTTCAAATGTGCCAGCTATTACTCTTCTTGGATAGTATTCTAAAAAAAATTATATAAATATGTGATGATTTATTAACCTCATTTATAACACTAATGTTAGAGAATCAATGTGAATGTTCTTCAACAAGCGATGTGTTTTTAAAAAATATTATGGTATATCCATGCAACGGAGTACTGAGCACTCATTCAAAATGATATTTATTTATGCTGACATGGAAAGACTGCCACACTATTGTCACTGTTATTAAATGATGATTAGAATAATAGGATATTTCTATTTTTTGACATTTAACAAAAAAACTATGAATAGAAAGTATTTAGAACAATATGCTTTGAAATATCAGCTATTATTTCTAGGAATGAGATTATAAGTGATTTCCATTTTCTGTTTATACATCTGAATAACTTAATTCTATTGATTGATTAATTGATTGATTGAGACAGGGTCTCACTCTGTCACCCAGGCTGGAGTGCAGTGGCGCCATCATGGCTCACTGCAACCTCTGCCACCTGAGTTCAAGTGCTTCTCCCTCCCAAAGAGCTGGGATTACAGGCCTGAGCCACCGCACTGGGCTGAATCATTTAGTTTTAAACAAAAGTATTTGTCATGCTTAAATTCTGGAAAATTATGTCTACTTTTTAAATGGTTTTAAACTCCTTTATTAGGTACAACATTAAACTAAATTGACCTGTTTGATTACAGGTTTTTATTCTGAGAATGCATTTCTTTGTTGTTGACAAAAACAAGGAAATGCTTTCTTCAGAATAAAGAAATGCGTTCTAATTTTATTTTATTTTATTTTATTTTATTTTATTTTATTTTTCTTTTCTTTTTTTTTTTTTATTATACTTTAAGTTTTAGGGTACCTGTGCACATTGTGCAGGTTAGTTACATATGTATACATGTGCCATGCTGGTGCGCTGCACCCACTAACTCGTCATCTAGCATTAGGTATATCTCCCAATGCTATCCCTCCCCCCTCCCCCCACCCCACCACAGTCCCCAGAGTGTGATATTCCCCTTCCTGTGTCCATGTGATCTCATTGTTCAATTCCCACCTATGAGTGAGAATATGCGGTGTTTGGTTTTTTGTTCTTGCGATAGTTTACTGAGAATGATGATTTCCAATTTCATCCATGTCCCTACAAAGGACACGAACTCATCATTTTTTATGGCTGCATAGTATTCCATGGTGTATATGTGTCACATTTTCTTAATCCAGTCTATCATTGTTGGACATTTGGGTTGCTTCCAAGTCTTTGCTATTGTGAATAATGCCGCAATAAACGTATGTGTGCATGTGTCTTTATAGCAGCATGATTTAGAGTCCTTTGGGTATATATCCAGTAATGGGATGGCTGGGTCAAATGGTATTTCTAGTTCTAGATCCCTGAGGAATCGCCACACTGACTTCCACAATGGTTGAACTAGTTTACAGTCCCACCAACAGTGTAAAAGTGTTCCTATTTCTCCACATCCTCTCCAGCACCTGTTGTTTCCTGACTTTTTAATGACCGCCATTCTAACTGGTGTGAGATGGTATCTCATTGTGGTTTTGATTTGCATTTCTCTGATGGCCAGTGATGATGAGCATTTATTCATGTGTTTTTTGGCTGCATAAATGTCTTCTTTTGAGAAGTGTCTGTTCATGTCCTTCGCCCACTTTTTGATGGGGTTGTTTGTTTTTTTCTTGTAAATTTGTTGGAGTTCATTGTAGATTCTGGATATTAGCCCTTTGTCAGATGAGTAGGTTGCGAAAATTTTCTCCCATTTTGTAGGTTGCCTGTTCACTCTGATGGTAGTTTCTTTTGCTGTGCAGAAGCTCTTTAGTTTAATTAGATCCCATTTGTCAATTTTGGCTTTTGTTGCCATTGCTTTTGGTGTTTTGGACATGAAGTCCTTGCCCATGCCTATGTCCTGAATGGTAATGCCTAGGTTTTCTTCTAGGGTTTTTATGGTTTTAGGTCTAACGTTTAAATCTTTAATCCATCTTGAATTGATTTTTGTATAAGGTGTAAGGAAGGGATCCAGTTTCAGCTTTCTACATATGGCTAGCCAGTTTTCCCAGCACCATTTATTAAATAGGGAATCCTTTCCCCATTGCTTGTTTTTCTCAGGTTTGTCAAAGATCAGATAGTTGTAGATATGCGGCGTTATGCGTTCTAATTTTAAATGAGTATAAAATTGGGGCCAGACGTGGTGGCTCACGCCTATAATCCTAGTGCTTTGGGAGGCCCGGGCAGACGGATTGCCTGAGCTCAGAAGTTCAAAACCAGCCTGGCCAACATGGTGAAACTCCATCTCTACTAAAATATAAAAAATTAGCTGGGTGTGGTGGTGGATGCTTGTAGTCCCAGCTACTCGAGCATCTGAGGCATGAGAATTGCTTGAACCCGGGAGGCAGAGGTTGCAGTGAGCCAAGATTGTGCCACTCCTCTCCAGCCTGGGCAACAGTGTGAGACTGTCTCAAAAAAAAAAAAAAAATTAAAGATTCCTTATTTGTTTTTGTAAATATGAGAGGGAAAGTTTCCCATACATCAAGAATGGCCTGGAAATAGCAGTATATTAATCAGTAAATTTTGGTGTTTCAAACGGAGATGTTTGATCCAGAAAAACTAAAGAACATTCATCATGACACAGATTTGTTTTTCCATTTAATCAAATCAAGAGGGTCTTTCAATATTTTTGTAAGAGGGCTGGAAATAAAGAGGAAACTTGTGCAAATTAATCAACAACATTAATCAAATGCCTACTGTGTACAGGAATTATTCTGGTTGCAAGTGAGAGACCTATAAATCTAAAATGGTCTTTTTTTAAAAAATGAGTTTACTTGCTAATGCAATTTAAGAGTCCAAGAATTAACTCTTTTCAGATGTATGACATAAGACTCAACGTGACCAGGACTGTTTCTGTGTTTTTATTTTTTGGTGTTGGCTCCTCCTCGGAAAGAATCTCTCTTGTGATTGCTTCCAAGATGGGTTCCAACATACTTCATCATTCAGACCCAGTGGGAAAAATACAATGTTCCTCCCAGAACAGTTTTAAAACATTTCCTGATGTGAAATCATGTGCCATCCAATTACCCTTCCTGGAAGAGTAAATATGCTTGCTGTTTTAAACTAGAGGTGGGAGTAAGCTCTTCAAATCACAATGCTCAGGAGAAGTGATTGAGGAGCTTTCCCAGAGGAAAATTACAGTAAACTGTTATAGCTAAAGAACAGTGAAGGGATTCTAGGTGATAAAATTAATAGATGTTCACTACAGTCCTCTAGAAGATTATTTAGAGAATAAAAAGACTTTTAAAATGCATTCTGAGCCACAAAATTATCACATAGAAGCAGGGAATAAACTACAGATACATGAAAAATAATTGCAATTAAAGACTCAGAATTCTAAATTATCACATAGAAGCAAGGAATAAACTACAGATACATGAAAAATAATTGCAATTAAAGACTCAGAATTCTAAGTGGTAAGTTAGTTGTACAAATAACAAATGCATCTCAGAAGAGAAAACATCACTGTGTGTTTCAATGATTAGCCAAATGTTATCCCTTCATTTAATGGTTTTGGTAATAGCATGATGCTTTAAAATGTTCCTGCTCAATCTAGGCTTTTTTGAATTCTTGAGTTTTAACCATGCCATTAAGTGATTTGTCTTTGGGCCTTAGACCCAAGATGTGAGGTTTTGAAATAATTTTCCTGTGATTGCAATAAAGATAATAAATTGATTATCATTTGAAATGCTTTTCCATTGAGTTTGAATGCCTTTCTTTTTTCTTTCTTGAACATATATAATGGAAAACATCTTTATAATTATTCCCAAGTACTGAAATTTTAATCTCCATTTTGTAATTGAAATTTTCTCTGCCGCTAAGTGGTTTTTCTGGATCCTTAACAGGCTAAGAACATCTAAATGTTGATCATTTTCTCAAGGGAAAAGAGGAAAAACATATATAGGGAGAGTAAGTCTTTGTTGTTATTGTTGTTGTTGTTGTAAAGAAAATTCTGTCTTCAGTTTCCATTGCCATTTTTTTGTGAACCCTTTTTAAAAAACACTACTTTTTTTTCTTACTTAAATTGCCTAAGTATCTATTCATTAAACGAATATTTATTGAATGCAAAACATCAGCATATGCCAGCCTAATAGAAGCTGTACTAAAAGCTGCATATACAGTGGTGGACAAAACAGTCATAAGTCTCTATCATCAAAGAGTTTATAGTCTAGGGAAGAAGACACAAAATAAAAAAGTAAAAAATATAAACAAATAGAAAAAGCTATTGATATGTTATATATTATAACATATTATTGATATTATATGTTGTAATAAACTATAAAAGAATTAACAAATGCAATGATAGAAAATAATGCGGTGTGGGCAAGGTGAGATTGAGAAACTTGATTTGATAGGATTTTCATAATGCCTCTCTGAAGAGGTGACATTTAAATAGAAACCTAAAAGATGAGAAGGGCATGTGAAAAGCAGAGTAATAAGTACTCTGTGTAGGAGATCGAGAGTTCCCTGCAAGGTGAACAGCTCAAGCAAAGGCCCTGGGGTGTAAATGAGTTCTCCATGTTTAAGGAACAACAGCGGGGACGGTGTGCCTGGAACATCAGAGGGCAAGTTGGAGTGAGGTATGAGGTGCATTTGGAGAGGCAAGTAGAGATCCGACCATATGGGGGCTTGTAAGCCTATGATCAAGAATTTGGATTTTACTGAAAATCCAAAAGAACTAAAAGAAAGAACTAAAAGAACTAAAATACTAAAAGAACTAAAATACTAAAAGAACGCCATTAATGTGTTTTAAGCAGTGAAGAATTACGGCCCGATAGATATTTTTAAAGATAACTCTGTCTGCCATGCAGTGAATAGATTGAATGGGGCAAAGCTGAAAATGGGAAGAACAGTAAAGAGGCTGCTGTAACACTTAGCCATGGCTTATTTCAAGGTGTGGGTAGGAAGCAGTGCCACCAGGATGGGTTGATGGATTGGATGTGGAAGGTGAATAGAAGGGACAATGATGCCAGTTTTCTGGCTTAAGTCATCAGAGAGGTGGTGGCTCTACAAAACTGGGAAGATGCATCAGTCAGGATCTTGGCAGGAAACAGATGGTACACTCAGACAAGATCACTGATGAAAGTTTAATGGCAGGCGCTGTTTACAAAGCAGTGGACAGAGTTAAGAGAAACAAACAAGGGATGGTGAAGGACTCCAGAACTACCAATGCAAGGAGCCATTATCCTTCCTAGGTCTGAAAGGTCAAGTGGAGTAGTCAATTCCTGAAACTGAGAGTTGTAGTTGTAGCCAGAGCTAAAAAAAAGAAAACAAAAAAAAGTTCCATGAAAGTTGTGACTTTCATGTAGAAATGCAGCCACTACCAACTCAAGGCTGGCAGGAAGGGAGCCAGGGAACTCAATACCCCAACTTTTCTCTCCTCCTGCCCTCCAATCTCCTGCCCGACCTCACCACCAACAAACCCGAAATAGAAGCCGAAATCCAAAGTTGACCACTGATGCAGCCTATACAGGTAGCAGCATCCTGGGCTCAAAGCAGGGTGGAGAAAGGTACAGAGAGAATAGAGGGTGCAAATGGAGAATGCTCAGTACCCATAGCTAGTAGAGGAACTATTTTGGGGAGTGGGAATCAAAAGTCACATTTTGTACTCATTAAGTTTGAGACATCTGTGAAACATAAATTGATATTTCAGGTAGAAATATGAGTCTACAACTCGGAAGAGAGATTTGCATTGAAAATTAAAATAGGGAAGTTATCAGCATCTAGGTTGTTTTTAAAGCAATAGGAGAGATGAGATAACTGAGACAGTTTAGAGAGAGATTTAAAAAAGCAGGAGTAAGAGCTAGAATCCAGTATTTGGATGTAGAGTGAGAGTCTAGAAAGGTAGTGGAAAAATTAGAAGAGTGGGATGTCAAGAAATGCAAGAATGGAAAGTGGCAGAAGATATAGTAAGTAGGTAAGTATGTTGAATGCAACTGAGAGGTCAGTAAAATAAATACAGAAATGTGTTCATTGGAGTCAGTGAAAGTAAATAGACAATCTTTGACTCCTTTTTTACTTTTCAAAATCATATTTTTAAAAATCTTTAGGCCAGGTACAGTGGCTCACGCCTGTAATCCCAGCACTTTAGGAGGCCGAGGTGGGTCAATCACGAGGTCAGCAGTTCGAGACCAGCCTGACCAACATGGTGAAACCCTTTCTCTACTAAAGATACAAAAAGTTAGCCGGGCGTGGTGGCACATGCCTGTAATCCCAGCTACTCGGGAGGCTGAGGCAGGAGAATCACTTGAACCTGGGAGGCAGAGGTTGCAGTGAGCCAAGATCACGCCACTGCACTCCAGCATGGGTGACAGAGTGAAATTCCTTCTCAAAAAAAAAAAAACAAAAACAAAAACAAAAAAAAACTTTAAACAACTTTACATGTTTTATAAAAGTATATAAAGTACACTAAATTTTAAAACTTTAGGAAACAACAGCAGTCCAATTGATATTTTTAATCATATATTAATAAAATCAGGTCCCCAAACAATGTGAGCACCAAGTTCTACCACAAAGAAACACAAGGCCCAGACATGTTTATAGGCAAGTTTTACCAACCCCTAAAGGACAAATTACTCCAATATGTTAAGAAATCTATTTCCTTGATCTTCATAAAGTGACCCTATAATTCACATGGAAGAAAAAGGGCCAAAAAGAGTCTAGAAATGCACTTTTCAAAGTGTGATTAGAAATTCTTTGGGGTTCCCAAGAACCTTTTGGGAAGGGTCAGGACGGGGTCCATGAGGTCAAAACCATTTTCATAATAATGCTGAAACGTTATTTGCCATATTCACTCTCATTCTCTCATTAGTGTACTGTGGAGTTTTCCAGAGGTTACATAATATGTGATATCATGATAGATTGAATGAAGAAGCAGGTAGGAGGCTCTAGCTATCTTCAATTAAACAGATATGATAATCTAGCTATCTTCTATTAAGCCAGGCATTTTTTAAAATGGCAAAACTGTAAAACAATGCCATTCTTCTAAATGTTTGCTTTGGAAAATTTATTACCTTTATTTTGAAAATGTTATATTAACATGTAATGGGTTTGCTAATATTACTTTTAAATGAATTCATAAATAAGCATTAAATATCTTAATTTTTAATTTCTAATAGAGCAAATATTGATGGATATAATCCACATTTAAAAAACTCTTTGGAATTTTCAGTAATTTCTAAAAATGTAAGGGGTTCCTGAGACCAAAAGTTTAAGAACTTCTGGCTTAGCATAAAAAAGGAAGAAAAATAGAGGGTAGCCTTTTCTCTCTGAATATCAAGACTGACTGTAAAGCTAGGGTAATTAAATATATAGCAGTAAAAATGAAAACATTTATCCTTTGCCAGTTTTGGGCTAGGAGGTGAAGAAACAAGAACTCTCACATGCTGCTAGTGGCATGGTGAATGGTTCAACTGCTATGGAGAGTGATTTGGCAATGTTGAAGATATGCATAACTTAGGGCCTGGTATTCCAGTTCTACATATAAAACCCTAAGGAAATTCGAGCGCATGTGAACAGAGAGACAAGAATATGAATTACAGCACTGTTTCCATTAAGGGAAATCTGGAAACAACCTATGCATCCCCCAGTAGAAATGGGAAGGAAATACAGCAAGCCTAGAGCAAGAGTTACTCCTTGGAAGGGAGGCCAAAGCAATGGGGAGGGGAAACAAAAGACTTTCAGTTGTGTCTATTTATTTATGAGAAAATAAGGGAGGGAGGGAGAAAAAGAAAGACTAAAAACGCAGTCCAGTGTCATCACTGAGTTAAATCTGGGTGATGTGTACATAGGAGTTCGTTGTGTTATTTATTCTTCTGAATGTTTGAAATGCTACATAATAAAAACAAGCTACTGGGACCACATTCATTTGCATTATCCTTCTGTATAGTGCACACAGTGAAACTGGTTGCCTACGAAGAGAATGTTAAAATTTAAATTCAGGTACAAAGTGGTCTAAATATACACCACAGTCTAGCTCTTCCTAACACTCTGATAGTGTTAAAGGAAGTTTTATTTGTTGTGGGTTTTATAACCAAGCTATTTGAAGGAATGCAGTTGAAGCATGGAGATCAGAGCGTTTCAATCTTCTGGTGTCTCCTAGGAGGTGCCATATGTTGGAACCATTGTCAGCCAGAAAAACATCCGCTACAAAAGTGCATCCTTCTGGGGGAAGTCAGTTTGCATAACTCATCCAAGAGTAAATTCAGACAATGGGGCAGCATCAAGAATGGGCAGTGATATCACCCTGGTCTGTGGTCATCTCCATTCTTAAGCCAGGTGGATCCAAATATTATCAGCCAAGTGGATTGGTTTGAGAGATTATCAAAATAGTTCTGTCTTGGTTTACACCTTGAGATAGCAGGGGACTAAGCAAGCTAGTTTCATGGATGATTATTCCCAGCGTCCAACCTCCAAATTTCTGGATAGCAGAGTAACTCTTAGCTAAGCAGTGAGGTAGACAAAGTATGAAACACCCTAATTGGTAAGATAAGAATTTATGCTAGTGTTGATTATTGTTTCTATTCAATTCCACCTAAATTCATGAAGCATATATGCTATGGTTTGAATGCTTTCATCTGCTCCAAAATTCATGTTAAAACTTAATCTCCAATGCAACATATGAAGAGATATGGCCTTTAGGAGGTGATTGAGTCATGTCATAAATGGAATTAGGTGCCCTTATGAAAGGGCCTGATGAAGGGAGTTCATCTCTCTTGCTCTTCTGTCCCTTCTTCCATGTAAGGACACAGTATTCATCCCCTCCAGAGGATACAGAAACATGGTACTATCTTGGAATTGGAGATTGGGTCCTCACCAGACACTGAACCTGCTGGTGCCAGGATATTAGACTCCCAGCCTTCAGAACTGTAAGAAATAAATTTCTGTTTTTTAAATAAATTACCCAGTCTGGTATTTTATTATACCAGCACAAACGGACTGAGACAATATATTTTGTGAAGACACTATGCTAGCCTCCTTGCTAGTGATTAGGGAGAAAAAAATGGAATAAGACATTCTCAACATACACATCTGTACAGGTAGTTGGCACAGGTAAACCTAATTTTATTTATTTAAGTTAGCACTGCCAACTGCTTTTCCATAAGGGGACACAGAAAACTCTGCAAGGAAAGTTCTTGGACTCTTCCCATAACACTATAAAGGTCACTCTTGGTTATGTAAATAGAAGTAGAATAACATATGTTATGGGTTGAACATTTGTCACCTTCCAAACTCATGCTGAAATTAATTGCCATTGGAATGGTATCAGGAAGAAGGACGGTTAAGAGGTGGTTAGGCCATGAGGGCTCTGTCCTCATGAACAGATTCATGTCATTATCATGGGAGTGGGTTCCTTATAAAAAGATGAGTTTGTCCCCCTTTTGACTCTCTTTCGGTCACTCACCTTTGGCCATGTTATGATGCAGCAGAAGTCCCTCTCTAAGTGCCAGTCCCTCAATCTTGTACTTCTTAGCCTCCAGAACTGTGAGCCAATAAACTTCAGTTCATCTAAATTCCCAGTCTGTGGCATGCAGTTATAGCAGCATAAATGAACTAAGACAACATCTATCGGCCTACAAATCTCAGATTCTTTTTGTGATTCTGTGGAAATGGAGAGAGGGAAAGTAAATTTACATGGAGATAAGTAGGCTTCAGTGAGGAATAAGATAAAGCCCATGACCCTTTCTCTTTAGATGATTAAAATTATTAGGAACTCTGAGGTTTTAGGATAATGTCAGTCAAAGTTCTCTTGTAGGAAAGGACCTTAAAAACCCAAGAAAACAAGGAAAGTAAGAACCTGTACTAGTGATCCTTGTTCCACACAGAATATATAGATCGTGATGAGGAAGGCCTTTAAGACAACTTCAGACCCAGCCACCCCATAAATGTTAGCTCGTGAGTAAAAACCATAATCACTTGTACCTTGGAGATCTGTGTGGCGATCAGAACCAGAGAGGCAACCGGTCTTTAGGTGCAACACTGTGTCACAGCAATAGAAGCCACAGCAGTTGAAAACCAAGTCTAGTTGGTGGGCAACATGGCCTGGCATTTGTCAAGAGCAACCATGCAAATAAGGCCAAGTAAGCTTCTCAGGATCTTGGACCATTTAGGATGATGGAGTTCATAAAAGCTTGGTGCTGGATTTCCTGCTAACATAAATATATGGAGCTAGAATAATCCACTGGAATGTAAAAGGGGGATTGTTATATTTATACCCCACACTAGTGCAGGGGGCCATACTGGTTACACTTACATATCCCAAGAACATCGGCAAAACAACCCATTTGAAGGGCATAGCACTACTATAGAAGTCTGCAACTAGTGCTAAAGAAACGTTATTAAGAAAGTCCTTTGGGAGGCCAAGGCGGGTGGATGACAAGGTCAGGAGATCGAGACCATCCTGGCTAACATGGTGAAACCTCATCTTTACTAAAAATACAAAAAATTAGTAGGGTGTCGTGGCGGGCGCCTGTAGTCCCAGCTACTCAGGAGACTGAGGTAGGAGAATGGCATGAATCCGGGAGGCAGAGCTTGCAGTGAGCCGAGATTGTGCCACTGCACTCCAGCCTGGGCAACAGAGTGAGACTGTGTCTCAAAAAAAAAAAAAAAAAAGAAAGCCAATCTTTATAAAAATCCTTGGAAATCACCGTAACTGACAAGAACAGAGACAGTTAATAAATGATTATGTATTGTTCAATAATTTCATGTTACATACTGAAAATACTGTATGCAGAATCACATTAGCTCTACCTCCTAAGAGTTGCTATGAGTAATCCTGTATACAAGTGTTAGAAGCCAAATTTGTCAGTAGTGTGAAATGTAGGCATTTTAGTTCAGACTGTAAAATTAAAATTTTAAAGATAATGTTCTAGATTCTGAAGAGAAAATGTGTAACCCCCAACAGAGAATGCTCCAGTATGATACACATAACTATGTCCACAAAGGTAGTGCCAAATACTATATGTACTTGGATAACACAATGGAAAACATGTAAGCAATTGGATTTGCCTCTACCAGCTTGGAGTAACAACCAGGGCCAGCTATACAATTTGTGGCACTCTGTCAAAAATGAAAATGTAGGTCTTATTGCTCAAAAAAGGAATAAAAATAGATCTTTCTTAAAGTATCTAAAATATAAAGCTTTTTCCTTTCTTTCAAAGTCTCCCCCTCTTGATTTGCCATGGTGTTTTTCAATGGCCACTTGCATTATTTTTCCGTTGCTGCATAACAAATTAGCAGCTTAAAACAACAGCCATGTTTTCTGATAGTGTTCATGAGTCAGGAGTCCAGGCATTGCTTAGGTAGGTCCTCTGCTCAAGGTATCTAAAATAGTCAGATGTGTAAAATCAAAGGATGGAATGGTGGTTGTCAGGGGCTGAGATGAGGGGGATATGGGAAATTATTAATCATTGGGCATAAAGTGTCAGTCAAGCAAGGTTAATAAGCTCTAGAGAGCTGCTGTGCAACACTGTGCCCACAGTCAACAAGAATGAATTGTATGCTTAAAAATTTGCTAGAAGCGTAGATCTCATATTAAGTGTTCTTACCACAACAAAATAAAATAAACTGGAATTTAATCTAATGATAGACTCTGATTCTGGAAATGATATTATAAGGATTGAAGAAACATTATTTTTCTGAGATTTATGCTGAAAGTCTTTCAGTTTCTCTATGAAAGTGAGAAAGGCAATGAATATGGAAAACAGCCTGTTTCCTCATCTATATTAATACTTAGCTCACAGGGTTCTGGTAAAGATGAAGTGAAACAGTGGAAGTCCTTCATAAGCTGTAAAGTGCTATTCAGTATAAGAAGACGTTAGTGTTAAAATTAATGACAACAACACATCAACAAATTATTAACAATCCTATTTGCCAATGAAAAATGAAGCCATAATTTTAGTAAGATCCTGCCTCTCACACTGGTTTTTAGAGGTTGACAGTAGGAACTCACACTGTGATCAGTGAGGTAGGAAGAGGGCACCAAGAAATCACTGTAGAAAAGAAGCACTAGAATGGAAGGAAGTTTCCCCTGAAAATATAAGTTCTGCCCTCCGACATACTTGGCTTCTGGCTATTACAGAGAATATCAGGGATACAGAGTACTTTGCTAACAAGAGGCGTGCATGTTCCTACTCAGGACTTTTTTTTTTTTTTTTTTTTTTTGAGATGGAGTCTCGCTTTTGTCGCCCATGCTGGACTTTCTCAGGCGATTACAAAGATCTTTTCCCTCAGGTTAATAAACACTATCCCAAAGTACTTGGAAATAGTCTTAAAAATGTTGGATATGCAAGAAACAATTTTCAGGCCAACTCTTTTGAAAATAGACTCCTCTGTATCTAAAGCAATCCACTATTTGTTACGTCATTCTGAGTCCAGAATTCAGTCCCAATTCACTCCACAAGGTTGACGCTGAAATTGTTAGTAATGAGATACAGTACTCAAGGCAGCTGATGGGTGTGAGACTCTCTGTGATTGAACAGCTTCCCTTAATAAAACAAATTGTGAAGTGCTCCAAGGTCTTCAGTAAAGAAGAGCTGAACGAGAAATCTTTGGGTAAAAAGAAGGGACTTTCTAAAAGGCCCTATATATTTTTTCTCAGTCTTTTGATAATGTAGACTCTAGGGATATGCTGCTCTCCCTTTAGGATTTCTGCTCAATTATAGCCACAACCAAAGTCATTTCCTACTGCTTGTATGGATCAACTAGAAGATCCTTCAAAAAGAACGATATTAAAAACAAGAAGCACATAGAAAGGGACATAACATAGAGTATCCTAAATAGTCAAGCTATAAGTATAGGTTTCTGATCCTGCAGTCACCGACTTACTGACTCATGGACCTCTTCTCTTCTATGTTCTTTCTGAGTATGACCTTCAGCTGTTACCTTGTCTCACTATTGCTCAGGAGCTCATCTAATCTCCTGTGCTGCCCTGTTCCTGTAAAACACAAACTTCCTTTCAATTTAAAACCCAAATCTTTTCATGGATTTCTGCTACCAAGGGCTCTACTACTCAGTTACAGTATCTGGCCTGAAAGCTAAGTCTCATCCCTTCCCAACTCGTTCTGTAAGTTTCTACCTATTTTATTATGATGCATTATGACAGCTCCTTCCCCACTCACCCCATCCCCACCCCAGACCTCAAGGTATTCAAAGGAAAGAATAAACATTTTTTGTGTACCTACTATGAAAAAACATGGACTATATATAAACAGGAAAAAAAAATTGTTTAGGAGGTTTTAAAACAACCTCATATAGGAGGGGCTACTTACCTAGATTTGCAGGGAAACGTATGCTTCCCAGCACTGATACACCACTTTCTTGCTCTTTTAGAAAATTTTGTCTTTACTGGGGACCTGGATCAGTGTTTCCTTTCTTTCTGTATAGTAAGGACATTTTGTAGTCCCCTCTCCTAAGTACTCTGCACAAAGCTAGATGCCCCATTTTGCTTAGTACTCTGAGAAGGGCTCCTTCTTCTGCTTGGTTTTGTGGCTGTGCTCTGTGACCTAAAGTCTTCTTGCCTGGCCAGAAGTCTGTGCTGACTCTTTTATCACCATGGACTTCTTTTGCCTTGCTATGCTATAGGAAAGTTGTTTAAACTTTCTGGAAGAAAGACTTGATTTCTTGACTGAAGTTTTAATTGAAAATGCATCCCCCTAGGCTGGAATACAGATACCACGGTGCATTCTTTGTAATATCATTAAATACATCACCTAACACTCACTCACACTCATTGTCATATATGCTATATATGTTATTTGACTCAATCCTGAAACCAATTCTATAATGAAGAAAGTCTCCAAGGAGTAAAATAATCAAGGATGCAAACGCCATTTGTCTGTCTCCAATGACCAGGTTTATACCATTTTAATTTGCCACTAGGGTTAGTAGTCGCTCCAATAACATTGAGACAGTTTGAATATATGTTTTGGTGTCAAAGGTGAAAAATAGTTTTTCTCCTTGGTCCCAATACCTATTCTAGTAGGTAACCTTGAGCCCACCCCAGCTTCTTGCCTGTCCTCAGGGTTCTGCTTTTCCCTCAGTTGTCCCTTAACCTGCTCCTATGCCCAAGCCCTGCCGACCAGCTTGAACTTTTTCTGGGGCTCTGTTGGAAAATACCATCTTCTCATTTCTCCAGAAGCATTCTCATGGGGCTGTGTTGAAGAGTGGATTTGTAACCAATTTTTTCATCAACATAATCTCAACTGCTTTGTGTCTTCCAGAAGTTCCTCAAACTGGGTGTCTTGTCCACCACCAGCATTTTCCTTGTTTTCCAAGGCTACTTCGGGTGCATTCATATTTTTATGTCTGTCATTTCCGTGGAATTTTGGAAGGAAAACACTATAACCTTTCCTTAGTACACAATTTTGAAGCAAAACCTCTTATCTAAGTTTTCTAATTTTTTTCTAGAATTATTATAGTTCAGTATAACAGAGATCTGAGAAGAGTTTTTAAAAACAACGAAATACTTCTAACACTAAGGCTTGGCACTCCAAGCTAATGAAGATCCTCCTGAAGTCTGTTACTTCCAGGCATGACAGTTAGGTCTCCAGAGAAAATCACTTAAGAAAGCCTTGGTCCTTGACCAAATGAAGTTTTCCTTGTATTGTTTTAGGTTAAAAATAAGAAAAGAATGACTCAGCAAGTTTTGGCCTATATATTGTCATTCTGTACAACTCCCTAAATATTTAAATCTAAATTAAAACATAAACCGACTGAAGAATGTCTTTCTCTAGGCCCAAGGACAGTTTGATGCAGGAAATTTAAATATTATTTATATGTTGCTTTGTTATGAAATTTATCTGCCTTGCCAACAAGTGTGGTAATTTAAAAGCTGGGTTTTTTAATTAACAGTCTTGACCTATATTTTGCTACCAATAAAAGTCTGGTTCCTAAATGTAATTCCATACTAAATTCACTGCTTGTACATGAAGAAAAATCTAAATTAATTGACATGTAAAGGAGTGGCTCTCAGCAGAAAGCCATAATAATTGCATGATAGAAGTTTAATATCATTGTTCTTTGCATCTGAAAATGTCATCAATAGCATGCATTGTAAGTGAAGGGAAAAAACCCAGCGTACTGTATGCATCTGCACAGCCCTCTGCAAATGTTTATGGGAACAGTTCAGAGGACTTATTATTGGTGGTTGGTTCCTAAGCTGTAAACATTCAACATTACATAGAGGTAGGTCTTAACATCTTTTCTGTGGCTCACTTTGCATTTTAGACCCTCTCCCACTCAGCTTTGTCCATAGCAGTTTAGACACCCATGATATTCAGAAGACCTTTTGGAAGGTTTGCAATAGCTTGGTTTTACAATGAAATGACAGTCTCCCTTATTTGTGACTTGAAATACTATTTCATGTTTCAATAATTTTAAGCAACTAAGGAGATAAATAAGGCTCCATGAATAGTATCTATTACAAAATTCTTTTAAAATAAGCTTATAGATTGTAGAATTAAAACATGGAGTAGAATTTGTAGAATGTAATAGGAAGGACTAAATACATGAAAACAGATATTTTCACTAGAATTAGACTAGAAGAAACAATTATCACAATTCTAGAAATAAGTATTCATGGATTAACTCAAAGAGAAGCGGATTCAGCTACTCAGCTTTGTAATTTAAAGTGCATTAGTTTTTTGGTCTTGTTGTACCTTAGACTTGCTAAATTAATCATTTTACCTATTCTTACCACAGACAATGACTTACTCTCTACCAAATAAAACGTTGGTTTATAAGGAATTATTTCTTTGATGATTCTGATATTGCTTATATTTTTATTGTCTCTTCCATAGTAATGACAAATTGCTATTAAACAATTTACACAGTTCACATCATTAAACATCTAGTTACAATACCTGGCATTACAATATTTTGATTTTGTGAAATGTTATACTATATGCTTTATATTTTAGAAAAATTAAGATCATAGCCACTAGCCACAGAAACCTTTCATATCTCAAAACTTTAACTGATATAATTTCTCTGCTTATTATTTTCAATAATTTAAAATATTCAAAATGTCATGACTACTTACTAGTGCTCATTTATAACCTAAAATAATCTGTTATTCCTATTGCTTAGAATTCTATTATTATACTTAGCATTTGAGGCTCTCTGTAATCTGGCATTTTCCTTACTCAACAAATGTCCTTTCTACCACTCTGTAGCATGAGTGGATCATTCTATTCAAGATAATATTTTAAATTGTCCCATAAATATATCAGGCTCATTCCCATCACTCTTTTATTCATATTGCTCCCCAAAATGTAACATCCTCTTCTCTCTTTTTACCATCTATCTATATTCTAGTATTATGATCATTCAGAATACCTATATAATTAATTACCTTTAAAGAAAGGAAATTAGAACCTCACTTCATACATTCAAAAACGTTAGATATATTAAAAAGTCTAAAAATTAAAGTATAACACAGCTAGAAGAAAATATATGTAAATATTTGAACACAGAATAAAGTCTAAATATAAAACCAATGGAATAAATTATAAATTATCACTGGATTTCATAAAAACAAAGTTCCATACACTAAAAATAACCATTGAACAAACTGAAATGACAAGAAACTGAACTCCTATATCAGAAACTGTATAAAAGATACCTTCTTAAGTTTCCCTTTCCAAATATTTCAGAGAACACCTGAAGGCTATTTATACCAAGCAAAACAGAAATATTACAGTCAAATATATTTCCAATAAGGATTTTCTGCAGGTTTATTTTAGGGAATCTGCTTATTTTTGCTGCTTAATTCTAAACCCTCCCATTAGGTATTTTAAATGCCTGGGCTTCGTTTTTTTCAACAAATGTTTTTATTGCACTGCAGCCACATGCCAGGAATTGTGCTAGATACAAAAATGCACTGATGTGTAAAACAAATATGATCCCATCACACAACTGAAGCCTAGTGGAAGATAAACTTTAATCAAGTAATCACACAAATTGTGGCTTATAAACAAAAGGTGCAGGGCACTATGAGAGCATATAAAAGCAACTTCACCTATTGGGGATATGGGATATGTATATGTCAAGGAAGACTTCTTATCTACATACAACTGTAAGCTTTTAAAACAGCAGGGCTCTATCATAAATAGATTCTGCACCTTTCTGCATCTAACACAGTAAGTCTTCTATATTTGTTAAATAATTTGTTCCAATTAAAATTTGAGGCTGTCCTTACTAACTAGCCTTCTTTTTCAGTGGTGTGCATGAAGTCAGCTTTAGAATGATCAATACTGTAGACTAGACACTTTAAGAGAGACAATTTAGAAAGACACACTTTTATTCTTATGATTAAACAATTTAAAAAGAAATCTGTTTATATGATTTAATAATCAATATTATCAGATTTAATGGTAAAATACCATTTAAACATCAAAGGAATAACGTTAATTCATATTTCTTTAAAAAATTATTCACATAATTCATGAACTAAAACAGCTTTAAAATTTTTTTCACTAACAGTACACATAGGTCCTTGAAAGTTTTTTAAAAGCATGTATTTTTACATTGTGTATCCTGGAAGTTTATTTATTACTAATTCACAAATATCTTTGCATTGCTTGGAAATATTTAGTGAACCAACATCATCATTGCCTTCTTCAAAGTGATCTGATGTACTGCTATCCAGGACATTAAGTTCGGACACATTTGAAGGCAGGTAAGAACTCACCTGGGATGTTTGTGGTGACTGGCTTTTTTCTAAAGATTTCCAACTACTTCTTGTTTTAACAGAGATGTCTTGAGCTCTCTTTGTAATTTCAGAATTGTGCATACTATTTTGATCTATCTGGTTTTCTTTTTGTTCAGTCCAATGTGTTGAAGATAAATCACTAGCAGAGATACTAGATGCTTCCTCCAAACTTTTATCCTGAGTCTTTGAAATATGAAATTTTCTGTATGAGTGTACAGGTGACCCGGCTGAAAAAGGTGGGCTAAGGATAGAACTCCTGTCACTACTATTTTTCTTTTTGGACACTCCTGTGTCACTAGACTTGCTTGTATATTGACTATGTTTTGGATTTTCTGTCCTTGAACTGCTATCATGAGCTTTGAAACTTCTGCTGGTGTCCTCACTGGTACAGAAATCTTCAGAATAGCAAGGGCTAGACAAATCATCTGAATACTTCAGTTCTGAGATGTTTTCATAGCAACTATTTTTACCTGTTCTCTTGTCACTTATATCAGCCATAAGAATGTCATTATCTGTGGTTTTGACCTGTCTAATATCTATTTCCTTATCTACAATTCTGTCAACAACAGCATCCTGTTGGAAAACACATGGACTTTGGATTTTCATTTCCACATTTCCTCCCAGAATATTTGTAGGGGTAAGCCTTTCTGGAATAATGGAATTTGCAGGACTCACAACTTCTTCCAATGAAACATTATTGATTCTATTTTTACTACAATCAACTGTCTTTTTTTCAGTTGCATATTTCAGTTTAGTTTCTTTACTTGTGCTGGGCTCATCAAAAACTCCACTGATTTGTCTTGAGGTATCACTATTTTCAGTGAAAGATGCATCTGAATCTAAATACTTATCTTCAGGCAGTTGTGGCTTCTGACTTTGTTCTGCAGAGCTTAATAGTTTAACTTTGGATGACGGAATTCTGAATTTTGTACCCAACATTTGTGATTGTCTTTTTCTATATAGTTCTCTTTTTTCATGTACCACCAACATATCAGGATTTGTCAGCTTTAAACGTAGTCTTAGTGTATTTGTTAAGCCATAAAGTAGCCTCCCTTTTGGAACTCTTTTATGGAGGGCACCACTGCTCTTTTCAGAATATTTATCTTCCTTATAGTTTTCAATTTGGTTCTTTTTATACTGAAGACTCACTGACTTTTCACATCCCCCCACAGAACGCTTATCCTTCTTGGCTTCAGACCGGCATGTGGATTTGGCAGAAGATTCGGGTGACTTCTTATCCTCAGTCCTATATAACCAGGCTAGGTGAGGATGTATATGAGCAGGACTTGTCACAGGTTGGTCATATAACAAGGACAACTCAACTAACAAAGCATTTAACAAAGGCAACTGCCTTATTGTATTAATTCGATTTTGTTCAGTTTGACATGTTTGATTAGTTGCTCCTATATTCTGAATATGTGGAGGATTTACAAGCATTGGAGGATGTTCGTGTGCTGCAGAACTTGGATGCTTTAGACAACTCCTGTGTGCTGGGGGATTTACACGCTTTTTTTCAGGAGAAGCATCATCCATTTCCTCAGGTGCATTCATTTGAGGCTCAATGGTGATTTTAGCCTGTGCAGGGGGCGGTTTTTCTTGGGTCAAGTTAGTGTAATACAAAGGAGGAGGGCAAAATATATTGGTCTCCATGTCCAATTCTGTGACTTCCTCATTTAGGGAGCTAACATTTCTCCCATTGCCAGCACCTGAACATGTAACAACAGAATTGGTTTTGCCATTCTCCACAGAACCCACATTATCACATTCGGCCTTACTTTTAACCATTTCCTTCAAATCCTTCTGTGCCTCTGGGATTTCTAACTCCCCCAGCGGCTTATCAGCCTCTTTTGGGCTTGGCTGTGAGGCTGGCTGCTGCAGCTGCTGTCTTTCCTGCTGGGTTTGGGGACTGACCTCCGCTCCTCCTCCTGTGCGGGTGAAGGTGAGGGGCCGCTCAAGTTGGCTCAGCAGGCGGCTTCCCAGGTCAGTCAGGCGGTAGGCCAGTGCAATGTCCCCAGTCCGCTCGCCCACTCGATTATGCAGGGGGAAACGTCCCCGGTGACGGTGGGAGCATCCGGAGGCGGCCGGCCCCACGACCCTGTGCGCTGCGGTGGCCAGCGAAATGTCGCAGGCCCCCAGGAGCTGTGGGGTGGGCGTCGGGCGCCCAGGGGGCAGCTGCAGCAGCAAGGTGGCAAGCGGGGTCCGCAGGAGCCGGCAGTGCAGGGTAGCAGGCTGCAGGCGGAAGAGGCAGGACTTGCCGCGACCGAAGCGGATGACACCGGGCCACGGTTCGGCGGCGGGAGCGCCGGGGCCGTCAGGAGGGTAAACCAACAGCGTGGGGAAGTCCAGCAGGCGGAAGGCCACGGCGGGGCACAGACCGCGCGGCGACGAGGCCTCCCCCTGCTCCTTTTCCTCCTCTTCCTCCTCCTGCTCCACTGCGGCAGCGGGGGACGGCAGCAGCCGGGCTTCCAAACGCACCCAGTCCACCAGCAGCTCCAGCGAGAAGAGCCGCTCGGACAGCGAGGCCGCCATTGCTGTTGCCCCAGGAAACGCCGCCGCGGGCTCCGCAAACGAGAAGCTGAAGCCCCGGGGTCTCACGAGAAACCGGAGCAAAAGGCATCGCTGCCTGCTATCTCGCGAGATTTGCGGAAGCGCTCCAGCGGGTCTCGGGCGGTGTCTGCTTTGGGGGTTTTGCTGCTCAATGTGTTTGGCCCCTTTGTATGCATACTTGTGAGCCGTTTTTTGCCACCAACCTTGTATTAAGACAATTGATGATAATGCTGAGGATATAAGTGGTAAAAGACAGTGAGTTTTTTGGGTAATGGTTTTATCACTGCAGATCTTATGTAACTTGGGGGTCAGATCAATATACCTGAGGAATATTGAAAGAAAATCAGGACTCTCCTTCCTTTCCCATGCTAAACAGAGCCAGTTAGTTAACTGTCCACAGTGGGCCATCTCTGTGTCTGCTGTTCTACCCAAAAGATGGTGACACTGCTGGGATGGCCAGGGAGCCCCTGCCTCATCAATTACAGTAGTACTGAGACAGACACACCACACACACACGGAGTGTGAATACACTGGCAAAAACTCTCCTTGGCTGAACTTTGGTCAGGCTCATCTAAGCCTTCTTTCCGACTAGGCCTTGACCTTGGCTTCCAATCCTGTGGACCCTGGATCACCGAGTTGTAGCAAAGGTCTCGCTACGGCTGTTGAGAGAGAACCCCCAACCCTTCATACCTGATTACCGTCGATACCTGATCAAATTCTTCATTTTCTATCATTGGTATCTGACCACCCTGGCCTGGCTTCAGCAAGAATCCTATTAGGCCTGCTTAATCAGAACCCTCCCACCCGTGATGTTCCCTATCAGTAAGTTTCCATCCACTTGACCTGACGCCCCCTTGGCTTTAAATCCCCACTTGTCCATGCTGTAATTGGAATTGAGCCCAGCTCTGTATTGAGGTCTCTTTTCTCTTATTGCAGTAGTTCCTGACTACAGTGTTTTTGCCACTTCAACTACTGTCTGGCCCTGTTTTTTATTTGACAACATTTCCAGCTAAGCAATCATGATGCATGAGAGTAATGTTAATGATTCCATCAATAAAACAAATGTGTGTACATAAATATACACACATCTACAGAGACACACAGAACTTGCTGCTCTATCCAGATATTTTAAGAAACATACTCCTAACCTCAATGAGCTAGCCAGCTAGGAATCCAAGGCCAGTTTTTGGAGAGCCTTGAATGCCATGGTAAAGAATTTGGACTATATTCTGTCCAAATTTTTTTGATTGAATAAGTACATCATAGCAATATTTGGAAATGTATCATGGGGAGGAATACAAAGGATGGATTCTACTAATTAGAAATTGGATTCAGAGCAATCTATTAGAAGACTACTGCAGTGGTCTAAGAGGCAGATAATTATGACCTGCACATGGTCAGGACTAGTGGAAATTAAAAAGAGGTGGCAGAAGAGGCATTTGTGATGGAGGAATTTTAAAATTTGGTGAATGGGAAAGAAAAGTCATGGGTGAAAAACTTCTGCTACTGAAGGTGAAAATATTGAGGAGGCACAGATTTGACGGAAAAAAATACTTTGAGTTTTGAGATATGTAAAGCTTGAGGTACCTGCTGCTGGGCATTATATATGTACCGCTTTATTCAGCTTTATAAATTATAGTTAAATTATATTGCTTCAGTGCTCAGAAGAACATTGTGAAGCTCAAGAGAAATTCAGAACTGGAGGGATATGATGCTTTAGTGTGAAGACGTGAGAGAGAAGTCTCATTGCAATATATAAATACAAGATACTTCTCGGACCAGATGCGGTGGCTCACGCCTGTAATCCCAGCACTTTGGGAGGCCGAGGCAGGCAGAACACGAGGTCAAGAGATCGAGGCCATCCTGGCCAACATGATGAAACCCCGTCTCTACTAAAAATACAAAAATCAGCTGGGTGTGGTGGTGCATGCCTGTAATCCCAGGTACTTGGGAGGCTGAGGCAGGAGAATCGCTTGAACCAGGGAGTTGGAGGTTGCAGTGAGTGAGCCGAGATCGCACCACTGCACTCCAGCCTGGTGACAAAGCGAGACTCCATCTAAAAAAAAAAAAAAAAATTACAAGATACTTCTCTTGGCTTTGAGAATCTTGCTATATACTTGCAGAGGACACATATCAAGCAACATCCTCAATGGATAGATGATGTAGAGCAATAAAAAAAAGACATCATCACAAGTGAAAAGCAATGAGGTATTGAGTCCATGTGCGCCAGAGAAATACAGTAGACAAAATTCCTCTTAGAAGATATCCTGTAGTTAGCCTTTTGAGTAAAGTTAATAGTGTGCACTAGTAGCACTTGTATGTCTCTTACATATGAATAGAAAAAGCGAAGTCCCTCTTCTATAAAGACATTATTTCTGCAATATGTAGTTTCTGCAATGATAATAACTTCTCTACCCAGCTACTCTACATGACTGGTATTATAATGTATGAATAATATTTTATACTTGTAAATAATGCCAAAAGTAACAAATAAAATTTTGCCATGACAAATATTTTCCCCATGTTTCTACACCACACATGGAGAAGTAGCACAGTGCAGTAGCTGAGCGCCTGGGTTCTGGAAGCAAACTACCTGGCTCAAATCCTGGTTCTGTGACCTTATACTAGTTTCTGAACTCTCTGTGAATCATTATCCTCATTTGAAAAATATAGTTACACTAACTACCTCATAAAAATATTATGTGTGTTAAGTGAATTAATACTTACAAAACTCTTAGAACAGTGCCTAGCATATAGTAAATATTTGTTAAAATAAATATTGTTTTATTTATTATTTGCCACATGGCACACTTTTTAGCTGAGTGTTTAAAACACTGCTATTGTAGTTAGCAAAAAAATAATTTATCCAACGTGGGCCCATTATTTTCAATCTGTAAAAGGTTTTATGCTCTGTATTTTATTTTTCATGCAGGAGCTAGCTGTTTTTTTCACAGGTCAAGGTCAGGCTAGGCAAGAGACTGGATTATTGAACTATAAAAAGCTACTGTCATTAGAGAAAGAAGTAGGGAAGGACACAAGTGAAAAGTATGAGTTTCAGTGTGTGATATGCTGAGTTTGATACATGATATACATCCAGGTAGATAGATCTAAGTTAGATATATGGATATGAAACTTACAAGAGAGATCTGGGCTGAAAGGATACATCAAAAGTTGGATGTCAACCTAATTTCTTCATATAAGACCTGAATTAGTATAGTAATGAGACACTATTTTCTTCTTTTATGTAAATTACTTTGAAACAGTGCATGTTGCAAGAATTTTGGGTTGATCTCTGATGATCAGATATGATGTTAACTACTTTTTCTAGGGGAAATAACTTTGGGGTGAAAAGGGGCAAAGGAAGTCATCATCATTAACTAAAGGTAGTACAGCTTCAAGACATGATGGGACTAATAATTTGGGCTGGAAGCAGAAACCAAATTAGTAAAATTCACTGAGCTGTGTGAGTCTGGCTCTTTAGAGGCAAACCTGTTTTCATAGGGCTGTGGACCCCAAGGAATAGATTCAGCAGATGGATCATTGTAGCAAGAGTTGTAACAAAATGGCAGTCGTTGGAGTTAAGTGGGAGAGCAGTTGGTCTAGTTTGGAGCAGAAGTCCAGATATATAGGAAATGTCATGGGGGCTGGAAAACCCAAGTGCATGTCATGGATGCAACCTAATCTACTCAGCTTCAGAAAATGGAAAGGAGCTCCTGGGCTGTCGAGGGAAGTGACATGGCTATCCAGTTGTGTGCACTGAACAAACACTGATTAGGAGAAATGTGTGTCTAGTTGACATGAAAATGTCCAAGACTTACTCTAGAAGCACCAAATACTAATTCCAGGTCTCACTATCGGGGACATCCTGCTGCCTACAGACTTCCTTGCTTAATCAGGATGAGCTCTAGAACCAAGTATAACCACCCATAATTGGCAGAGACAGAGGGGACTGAAGACATCCTATCCCGCCAGGTGGAACATACAGAGCTGAGCGAAGAAGAACCTGTGTGGTTCTAACTAGGAGGAAATGAAATTCAACATCCCTTATTTCAGAATAATTCTTTACACCAGTGTTTCCTTTCCCCAACAAAAAGAATATAACACAAATACCACATGATCTTACTTATAAGTGGGAGCTAAACATTGAGTACACTTGGACATAAAGATGGGGATAATGGACACTGGGGACTACTAGAGGGGAGAGGGTGGAGAAGGAGGGTTGAAAAACTACCTATAGGAGACTATGCTCACTACCTGGGTGAAGGGATCCTTTGTACACCAAACCTCAGTCACCCGCCATTTAATAAAATAATGAAAGACCTAATAAGAAATAATTCTACAGGAAAATGTCTTTAAAAAAAAACCAGAAAATGTAATCTGCAATCTTGAAAGTAGAAATGTGAAGAGACCAAGTGAAAGTCTTTTTCCCTCGACCATGGTTTAAAATCCCTAGCATATGCTCATTTGCATGGCAAGCCTGGGAACCTTAGCTCTTAGAGTTCCTTGAGAGACAGACTGGGAAGTTGGGAGTTCTTATTGCAGCTCTCTTTCCCTCAGGTCCTCTTCTGTTGTCTCCCAAGGACTTGCATTTCAGGATTCTAGATACATATTGTATTTCTGGAGCAAGACAATTTCAATCAGGAGAAGCCTATTTCTAGTCATTCATTCAGGACTTCAGATAAAAGCCTGTTTTAAGCAGAAAGCTGCCCTGCCTCTAAGACCTGATTATAGGCTCCTGAAATCTAAGCCAGATATCTTCCTCTTTACTAACTGGGTTACAAATGGACCTCACACAACTTAAACACCACAAATGACCAGAACTTTAATAACATTCACCTTGACGTGTTTCATTATTGGTAAAGATGATATGACTCTGTCTTCAGAATAAATCTCCAGTGTTTGAATGTGGATCTTTTTCTTTGTTTCCAGTCTTTTCATTCCCTTCTATTTCTAAACTTCTGGAAAGGGGGAATCATAGCTTTTCCATGTGTTGTCATTAAATCAGGGGCAGAGTTATGATCAGAACATGATTACCATTTCCAATATCACAGATACAAAATAGCTGTGGTAAATAAATGCAAATAATCTAAAAATATTCTGCAAAATGGTACCAAGGCTCTGCATTGCATTTTCAGTTTTTATTTTAAACTTGCTAGAACTTGATATTGGAAATTCATTCACTTGAGAAGAAGGACAAGGAGAAAGATTAGAGGATGGAAGGAAGGGAGGGGCTGGGGGTTGGAGAGTAAACAAAGGAACTACTAGAGATTAAAGAGAAAGAATGGCCTATACCCCACTCCAATAAATCTCTCTACCAGAAAGGAAGGGGAAAAACAAATTATGAAGCATCCTAAGGTATTGGAAATGTACGAGTTCATTAATAAGCAAAATCGTATGTACAATTGGTAGGAGTGGTTTAGTGAAAATTATTTGACTGTCACTGGCAATTAGAAATGTATCATAGTGGAGGCCGGGTGCGGTGGCTCACGCCTATAATCCCAGCACTTTGGGAGGCCAAGGCGGGCTGATCACAAGGTCAAGAGATTGAGACCAACCTGGCCAATATGGTGAAATCCCGTCTCTACTAAAAATACAAAAATTAGCTGGGCATGGTGGTGCGTGCCTGTCATCCCAGCTACTTGAGAGGCTGAGGCAGGAGAATCTCTTGAACTTGGAAGGCGGAGGTTGCAGTGAGCTGAGATCACTCCACTGCACTCCAGCCTGGGCGACAAGAATGAAACTCCATCTCAAAAAAAAAAAAAAAGAAAGAAAAGAAAGAAAAGAAATGTAGCATAGTGGAATCAACATAGTCTTTGAAGTTGAGCAGTCCTCGATTAAAATATCAGCTTCTCCATTTTATACCCATGTAATTCTAGGACAGGTTCTTCAACTCAGGGAATTTTCCTCCCGTGTTATCTTACAGATTTTCAAACTATGCTGTGCATGTTAAAATGCAGAATCTTAGGTCCATCTTCCAGAGATTTTGATTTCCTAGGTCTCAGGCAAGGCCCAGAAATATACATTTCTAGCTGTCATCCCAGATGATTTTGATACAGGGAGTTACTGGACTTTTCTTTGAGAACCACCATCCTAGTTTCTGGCACATTGCAGATAACCATATTTCTGTCTTCTGCATTTGTAACAAGTATATGCTGATCATATAGTAGTATCATATACAACAAGTAGTATAATCATGCCAATAAAATAGTATGAAAGATTTATGTAATCATAGCTCCTTCTTTCACACTTTCAGTGTGAAATGGAAGAAATGAAGTAGGTAACCTTTAGCAATGAAGCATTACTGTCAACATGCCACCATGCCAAGAGATGCCGATGTAGCAGCAACAACAGCAGCCTTAAGAGAGAGACAGCTTCCCATAAAGTACTCAGAAGAAGCTTCAGAAAGCCCCCAGAGGAAGGTAGTTTATGAGAAACCCCCTTATAAGCAGAACGCTGCCTGCCAAGACACCAAAACCACTGTTCTGCACCAGGAAAGACTGACTATGGGTTCCTTGGACAGAGTACCCTCCTGCCTTCAGTTAGCAGGGAGGGCTGAAAGATAAAATCTTGCTCATAAATTCTTTCCTTTCCATGCACATAAACACCGTTAGGTATTTTGGCCTAGACCACCTTGTCAAGGCTCTGTAAATAGTTGCCCCATGTAATAGAATTAGGTTTAAATTGGGTTTATTTTAAATTACTTGTTAAATAAAAATTATAGGAGGCCATTGTTTTGGACTAAGCTCCTGCACTAGGCCCCAACAGACTAGACTAAAAATCAAAATGCTGTCATTCGCACCATAGTTACAGGTCACCAAACTGAAACTAAGTTATGTGACTCTATCAGGAGAAAGGGATAACTGCTTTAATCCTTACAATAAAAAGTAATGTGACGTTAACCAATTGGTTATTTCTCTATTGTTCCATTTCCCTGCTCCTGCCTTACAAGGAAAGTCACTTTGAAATGAACAATTCACTTTGTGTTCTTGGGTTCTGCTTTCTCGGGCTGTTCTCTGTCTATAAAGCTGACCTCTTTGGCTCAGCTCCGTGAAACACTGATTCTATTTTGTGGAATGAAGTGTTTTCTGATTCTAGAATAGCAAATAAAGCCAACTGAGATCTTTAAACTAAATTTGTTGCGATTTTGTCTTTTGACACTACTCACTCATAATTTAGATTCTTCTAAAAGATAGCCAGCTGTTCTTTTCATAATTAGTAAGATATGGGAAATAAATCAAAAGTCTTGATAATTGTAGCAAGCAGATTTGTCCTTTAGGAGACGCTTACCAAAAACGGGAGTTGGGGTACACTGAAATAACTCTATAAATAGCTGCCAGTTTTATCGAGCTTATCATATGTGCTTGGCATTGCATTTGGTCTCTTACAGACTGTGTTTAATCTTCATAGCAACTCCAGGAAATTATTGGCATACTCATAAGGAAACCAATGAAACTAACTTGGAGAGCTTAAATAATGTATTCAAAGTTACACAGCAAGAAAGTGGTAAAGTATCATTAAAATACATTTCTGCCTGTCTTTTAAAAAAATAGCTTGTGTTCATCCCACTAGATTCCTTCATCTTATTTGTTTATGCTCAAGGAAAGTATTAATGTACAGGAAACTGACACTATCCAATTGGAACATGCATTTGGGGGTGCAAAGGAGCAATTTAATAATACAACAAAGAAACAAAGAAGCAAATGCTGAACATCTTATGTTCTGTAAGAAAACAGAACCAGCTTAAGTAACAAATTAGGAGCATGTAAAAGGGGGAGGTAGAGAAGGGGGTTGCTCCAGATTAAGTTTTTTTTTTGTTTTTTTTTTTGTTTTGTTTTGGGATGGAATCTTGCTCTTATTGCACAGGCTGGAGTGCAGTGGCGTGATCTCGGCTCACTGCAACCTCCACCTCCCCGGTTCAAGCAATTCTCCTACCTCAGCCTCCTGAGTAACTGGGATTACAGGCGTGCACCACCATGCCCGGCTAATTTTTGTATATTTAGTACAGATGGGGTTTCGGCATGTTGGCCAGGCTGGTCTTGAACTCCTGACCTCAGGTGATCCACCAGCCTCAGCATCCCAAAGTGTTAGGATTACAGGCATTAGCCACCAAGCCCAGCCCAGATTAAGTTTTAACAGACACAACCATCAAATGTAACCTGTGCACCTTCTTTGAATTCTTAAATAAACCATCTGAACAAAACGGCATGTTCGAGACAACAGGGGTGATTTCATTACTGACTGCTTTTAGATGACACAAAATAATTATAGTTTAAGGTTAGGTGTGTTAAACTCATGAAGGTTAGCTATGTTGATGGAAAAACCAAACTCTGTAAAATATTTAAAGAGGTTTATTCTAAGCCAATATGGGTGACCATGGCCAGGGGTTGGGGGACAGTCTCAAGAGGTCCTGAGAAAAATGTGCCTGAGGCCGTCAGGTTACAGGTTGGTTTCACACATTCAAGGCAAACCGGAATTGTAGGGAAAATCATAAGTCAATAAATGAAAGGTGTACATTGGTTCAGCCTAAAGAGGCAGGATATATCTTGGAATGGGACCTTACAGGTGGATTCAAAGATTTTCTGACTGGCAGTTGGTTGAAAGAGTTATGCTCTATCTCAGGACTTGAAGTCAGTGGAAAGAGATGCTTGAATTATGATAAGGGGGATTGTGAAGATGAAGGTTCTTGTTATGTAGATGAAGACTCCAGGTAACATCCTTTAAAGGAAATAGGTTGTTTTCCTATTTTCTTTAAAATAGGAAAAATATTTTCTTTAAAAAAGAAAATAAATGTTGCTTTCCAGACCTTAAAATGTATCAGACTCTTAGTTCATCTCCCCTAGATCCAGCAATGGCCTAGTTGCATTAATGGAGATTGCCTACAGACACAAATTTCCCCCAGCAAAGACAGCTTTCGGGGCCATTTCAAAGGATGGCAAAGAAATATATTTTGGGGTAAAATATTTTTATGTCCTTCAGGGTTTTCTGTCATGTGATGCTATACCAGAGTCAGGTTGGAATTTGGTATCTTAGTGCCACAAAGTCAGTTTTTCAGTCTTATGATCTCTGTCTTAATGTTAATGCTGGTCAGGGGTGCCTAAACTCCAAAAAGAAGGGGTGTAATGAGGCATGTCCAGCCTCCCTTCCCGTCATGGCTGGGGCTTCAGTTTTTTAGGTTGCTCTGGGGTCCCCTTGGCCCATTGGGGAGGGTTTCATTCAGTTGGTTGCTGGAGGGCTTAGGATTTTATTTTTAGTTTACAGCTATGAGAATACTCATGCAGATAAGAGCTGCAAACTGAAGTAGTAGGACTGAAATGACAATGCCTGAAATTTGCTTTATGATGCCTCAGGGAAAAAGAAAAATGACATAAGAAAAGCCAATGTGGCAAAGTCTTGACAATTATGGAATCTGTGGGGTAGGTATATGGAATACATGGAGTTACTTATGGTTTTTCTGTACTTTAGTGGATGTTTTAACCTTTTTATAAACTAATAGTGGATTTTTCTCTCACAAGTTTCAGATTAGCCGTGAAAGACTGTGAACTTGAGTATAGCGCCAGATATCAGTACTGTAGAAACTAACCACAATGTATAATCATGTTTCCAGGGGAAACGGCTTTTTACTGCTGGAGCTGTGAGAATCTAGAATATCCAGAATTAAGTTCTGATGGCTGTCCTGAGCAGCTACTTCAAATGAGGGGTATTTGTAAGTAGGTCATATATAAATAGCATGCCTCCTTTTTATAGGTCTTAAAGGCCAAGTATGTTTGGAATTCCTTCTGCCCTTGCTTCATTTCTCAATGCCAGCCACTTCAAGGTGGGGGGACAGGGTGGCAGGAAGGGGACCCTCATCCCCTCTTCTTTTGTATGTATATATTATCTTTTAATTTACTTCCCTTTCAACCAGCTATTTTAGGATGACAGCCACAATTTACATTGACAAGTTTATTTTTCTTTAAAACATACATGTGTTTATCATGTTTTGAACTGGAAATTCAAAAAGTAAATTCAGATCAGTAGATACCACGCTTTGTTTTTTTTTTTTTTTTTGAGATGGAGTCTTGTCTGTCGCCCGAGCTGGAGTGCAGTGGCTCGATGTCGGCTCACTGCAACCTCCACCTCCCGGGTTCAAGCAATTCTCCTCTCTCAGCCTCCCAAGTAGCTAGGATTACAGGCAAGTGCCCCCATGTCTGGCTAATTTATGTATTTTCATTAGAGACCGGGTTTCACCATGTTGGTCAGGCTGGTCTCAGACTCCTGACCTTGGGTGATGCACTCACCTCGGCCTCCCAAAGTGCTGGGCTTACAGGCATAAGCCACCACGCCTGGCCGGTACCATGCTTTATATGTATCATAAAATGCTGGAAAAATGCTGGTACCATGCTTTATATGTATCATAAAATACTAAGATATATGTAGCATAAAATGCCAGCATTAAAAAACTCACATAAAATGCATAAAATACATAGTGACGTATTTTCAAATTTTAAATAACAAGAACATGAAATAATTTACCTCCTTATCAATACAGGGACCTTCAAGACCAGATCCCAAGCAACTTATCCACTTTTATTTCTACCATTTGCTGTTCCTTGTTTATACACTCCAGTTTTCCTATTTTCAGTGCTAGTGTCTATGGTTTATATTCCCTTGACCTTGATTGCCCTCCTCTACTTCTCCACAGATCTTAAACATCATCTTTCTTTAAAGTCTAAATCAAATGTTATGTCTTTTTAAAATTCTTTCCTGGTAGTCCTGGCTGTAAGTGATCTTTTCTTTTCTCTGCTGCACTTAATCTCCTTTGTGAACTATTACTTCTGTCTTGTATTATTACTCTTACACACATGAGTTTATTGCCTGTAGTTCTCTATAAGCTCCTCGACAATGTTATTTTTAAATTTTTGCATGCCTACAGCAATGAACACAGTACCTTGTTTCTAGACATAGTATTTGTATATACAATACTTGATAAATTAATACATGAAGAATATAGTTCCTTATGGGACTTGCTTGTGTAGAACACAAAGTTCAGAAAATATAATGAGCTAAAAACTTACAAATATTTAAAACAAAGCTATGATGCTTCCCAGTTTGCAGTGTTCTTTGTGTAGAATGTGTTTTATTGAAACCACAGAGAAGCTCATAGAGTGTTCAGGACTTTTCAAAGAGGCCCTACTGTGTTCAATTTGCCTTAGATTTTGAAGTTATGGTTGACTGAATCCAAAGCCTTAGGTAGTTAGATTAAAGTAAACAGGATTAAGTGTTCTTCTCTCCATATTGATTTTATGACATGCAGGACTTCTCTGCAGGTTTCCTTTCTGTGCAAGCACCGGAAGTGAACATTCTCTGAAGATTGCTCAGTGCCCAGAAGACAGCAGGAGGCATGAGATCCCTATTGCAACCACGGCTGAGGTTGTAAATGACACCGTGCAATTGGAAGCTCTGCCTCCTTTTAAATGATTACTCTTAAAAGATGCAACCTCCAAATGAAACTGTAATCCAGCCTAGCTAAAAATAGACTCCCTGTTCACTCAGCTTAGATTTTCTTAAATTGTTCCTCCCTTTCTTTGAAATGTCAGTCTTCTCTTTTTTTTCTCTACTTCCCACCTGCATAGCCTGGCATATTAGGGCAGTGCTACTTGTCATAAATAGAAAGAACTAATATACGAGGTGAGCTATTCAACTCACATGTCCCAGGCCCCACATGAAGGGCCATGGTCATACCTCCCATCCATTAGGATGGCTACAAGCGAAAAAAACGGAAGATAAGAACTGTTTCCAAGCATGTGGGGAAATTGGAAGCCTGCTGTACCACTGGTGGAATTATAAAACAGTGAAACTGCTGTGGAAATGAGTTTGGTGGTGACATGCATGGAATTGTGTCCCCAAAAATTCATACATTAAAGCCCTAACACCTAATATGACTGTACCATATTTAGCTATGAAGCCTTCCAAAGATAACAGGACGTTGAATTAGAGCCCCACACCATAGGTCCTTCTCAGCTTATATTCTTATACGGACACCCAATAGAATGGGTTTCCATATAAGAAGAGGAAGAGCTATTAGAAGTGTGGGTCCACCACCCACCACATAACTCCATGCTGATAGATCACCCTCTACCCACACTGCACCTCTATGCTGATAGATCACCCTCCACCCACACTGCACCTCCATCCTGACAGATCACCCTCACACACACTGCACCTCTATGTTGATAGATCACCCTCCACCCACACTGCACCTCCATCCTGATAGATCACCCTCCACCCACACTGCACCTCCATCCTGATAGATCACCATCCACCCACACTGCACCTCCATGCTGACACATCACTCTCCACCCACACAGCACCTCCATGTTGATAGATCACCCTTCACCCACACTGCACCTCCATCCTGATAGATCACCCTCACACACACTGCACCTCCACCCAGAACATACTTTCATGCTGAAAGAGCACCATTCCTTATCTCACCTTTATCTTCCCTCTACTTTTTCTTGTTTCTTTAATATACTCATAGCTCCTTTGATCTATCAATGTCTTGAGATTACTTTAGTTAGCTTATAATTCTTATAATTAATTTGTGGGTGTTTGTGAATGACTATTATTGCTGTCAAATAACAATTAAAATACACTGTAATATGTTTTCTTAAAATGCCTCTTCTATAAAATGAAATTAATATTATATTTCATTTACTCTAGCAGGCATTGAAAGAAGTATTCTTTTTTTTTTTTCTTTTTTTTTTTGAGATGGAGTTTCGCTCTGTTGCCCAGGCTGGAGTGCAATGGCGCAATCCTGTCTCACTGCAGCCTCTGCCTCCCAGGTTCAAGTGATTCTCCTGCCTCAGCACCCCCGAGTAGCTGGGACTATAGGCGTGCACCACCACGCCTGGCTAATTTTTGTTTTTTTTTAGTAGAGACAGGGTTTTGGCCAGGCTGGTCTTGAACTCCTGACCTCAGGTGATTCACCTGCCTAGGCCTCCCAAAGTGCTGGGATTACAGGAGTGAGCCACTGCACCCGGCCTAAAGAAGTATTCTTGTCTCTCCTTGAATTACATTATTTATGAATGTTTATTTTATCCTCCAAACCTAGATGTTTTTGTTTTGTTTCGTTTTGTTTTGTTTTTTTGAGACAGAGTTTCACTCTTGTTGCCCCAGGCTTCAGTGCAATGGCGCAATCTTGGCTCACCGCAACCTCCACCTCCCAGGTTCAAGCAATGATTCTCCTGCCTCAGCCTCCTGAATAGCTGGGACTATAGGCACCCGCTGCCACACTCGGCTAATTTTTGTATTTTTAGTAGAGACGGGGTTTCACAATGTTCGTCAGGCTGGTCTTGAACTCCTGACCTCGTGATCCACCCGCCTCAGCCTCCCAAAGTGCTGGGATTACAGGCGTGAGCCACCACACCCGACCTGTTTTGATTTTTGATTTCATGATTTTTCCTAGGGAAAATTGTATGACTCATTTTTGGGTGTTTTTTTCCAATGGTGTACATGTTAATATGAATGCATTTGTTGTAAATTTATTTTGTAATTTAGATTTTCCATGATTTTAGATTTTAGATGACAACAGATTGATGTATAAAACCTTATTGCCTAAAAATCACTAATTTAATGAATTCGTACTAAGCAGGGTAGGGAGAGAGATAATTTGGGATTTTATGTTCTTTAATTTTATCAGCTTAACTAATAATTTCAATGCTGGATACCTAATTGAATAAAAACCATGTAGCCTTGGTCCCTTTATATTGTGGCTTCTCTGAATTCCATAAGCATGCTCTAAAAATTTATTGTATATTCATGTACTGGACTGTCCCAGAGACTTTTCACAAAGCAGTAGCTCTCTATTAGGTTTTTATATTTAAATGATAATCAGTGCAAAAATCACTTAACTTGGCACTCACTACAAATTAAAGAAAACAAGCATTAAGTATATTGAAAATGTACCCAGACAAAATGTAAAAATGTATCATGGACATATTTATAAAACTTGAGAATTGCAGACACTCATAAAGATTTTAACATTTTAGCATTGAATTGTTCTCCAGTTCCTGGTTTCTTTTGTACCATCTTCTGTTGATCAGGAACTGAATTTCTGACCTATGCAACAGCAGAGTCAATGCAACTTTTTAATTTGACACCTTCCTAATTAAAATGAGATCAGGATATATCATTTCATATGAAGGATCATTGTCTTTTAAAAAGCCAAATATAATTCCGTTCAGTTTCTCTGCACTCTAAGTAAAAAGAATAATAATATTACAATCCCACAAATAAATGTGACTCCCCCTTCCAGTTCCTTCACAATTCTCCTAACCTGGAATATTATTTTCCAAGGGTTATAAATTACAGATTCTTTAGAGGGCAAAGTGCAGTTCCTTTGCTTGGGGCTTCAAGTACAAGGAGTAGATTTCCTGTCTGGAATCACTGGAAAGTCAAAACAAATCTTAATTTTTAACTTCCTTATAGAATTATTTTCTTTTTCAAAAAAGCAAAATGATAGGTAAGTATTTTGCCATAGAAACCTAGGACAGAAAATTCCCCAGAGATAGAAAATTGTTTGGCAGGTTGATGCCTGAAAGTCCAGCTCTGTAAGTTCCACCTGTGGTTCCAGCAAGAGTCGACCTGGAGGCAGCCCCGGTCCTCAGGACCTTAGCTTTCTAGGGTACGCATGGGACAAAATAACATAATAGGTGATCCTACTTCACAGAGATGATGTGAAAACCAAGGACCTCAGGTTGGAAAAGATTTCAAGCACCTCAGAAAGTGAGGACAATAAAAACACTAGTGATTATTACTATAACAAGTATAATAGCATATGATTCTGCAAGTGCAATGCTGTGGCCCGGTGGGTGCTTACTAAATATTAATCAAATGAATTAATGCACAAATAAAAGATTCATGGTTTTAAAATAATTCAACAAATCACTTTAATGTTTCCAAGATTGAGAAGTATTACAAATATTTTAATTGTTTTTATTTTATTTTTTAACTAAAAAATGTTTTATTTTTTTATCCCTAACTTTAACCCTAATGTTGTTGTTTTTTAAATGTGCTTTCACACAATCTATTTCCCAAAATTTCTAAAATACTCTATGAGGGGCCAGTCGCAGTGGCTCATGCCTGTAATCCCAGCACTTTGGGAGGGTGAGGCAGGAGAATTGCTTGAGCCCGGGAGTTTGAGACCAGACTGAGAAACAAAGTGAGATTCTCTCTATAAAATTACCCAGGCTACTCAGGAGGCTGAAGCGGGAGAATCCCTTGAGTCCAGGAGTTCGAGACTGTAGTGAACCGTGATTGCACCACTGCAGTCCAATCTAGGTGACAGAGTGAGACCCTGTCTCAAAAAAAAAAAAAAAAACAAAAACAAAAAACTGTATGAGGCTATGTTGTGCATTTTCTGGCCTTACCATTGACAGAGCTAATAATGGCAACTCTATTTTAAAAGTCTCATTCATGGTGCCTAACTATGCATCTCAAGTATGTTAGCCTTTATTAATCAATTCCATGTTTCTGTTGATATCCAAGGAAAGCAACACTGGATTTTGTAATCAGGATGCTCTTGCCAGATGTCCTTGGACACATGTGGGCAACAGAGAAAGACAGCACTAGGAAGATGAGGAGAGCCTGAAACTGGAGAGTCAATGACAAGATTGTATAATTAGTGGTTTCCAAATTTATTGCACTTGGAAACTCTTATTTATCATGAGGAAAACTATAATGCATTTTCACATAATGTCAGTTGAAATTGTACTTGAGAGGCTGTATCACATACAGTGGTTCCTAAAATGTTGTCCTTGAAACAGCAGCGTCAGCATCACCTGGGAACTTGTTAGAAATGCAAATATTCAGACTCCACCTCAGACCTACCACATTAGAAATTCTAAGAATGAGGTCCAGCAATTTGTGTTTTAATAAGCCCTCCAGGTGATTCTAGTGTGGGCCAAAACTGGGGAACCACTGGTATAGTGGCTAATATGCTGCTATGGTTTGAATATTTCCTCCAAAACTGATGTGGAAACTTAATCTCCAATATGTTAGTATCAAGAGGTGAGGTCTTTAAGAGGTGATTAGATCCCCAGGGCTCTGTCTTCATAAATGGACTAAGCCATTCATGGATTAATGGGTTAATGGATTAATGGATTATCATGGGAGGGGAACTGGTGTCTTTAGGAGAATGGGAAACTCGAGCTAGCACGTTTGCACACCTTTAACATATGATACCCTGCACTGCCTTGGAACCTTGTAAAGTCCCCACCAGGAAGAAGGCTCTCACCAGATGTGGCTCCTTGACCTTGGACTTCTCAGCCTCCAGAACTATAAGAAACTTGAGCTTAAGCTCAATATGAGTAAGAGAAAATTGAGTAAGACACACGGGCTGTGAAGATGCCTACATTTAAATCCCAGCTCCACCAACTCACCAACTGGGGACTGAAGCATGCCTCAGTTTCCTCACCTAAGAAACTTTAATAGTATGGTTGATACAGTTGTGATTAATTCACATTAAACAGTGCCTGACAAATGATAAATATCCAATAAATATAAGTCACTATGAATCTTTCAGTATTAGAACAATGCTTGCAAGCCTACTGGTTTGAAAATACTTTTTGCTATCCCTGTATCTTGGGATCTGCTCTGGGAATCCTCAAGGTGAGTGTCACAGCAGAGTACACTGAGTTGCCAAGAAAGTGGCAGGACTGTCTAGACTGTCGGGCAAGATTAGCATGCTGTAGGGCAGCCAGGAAAGCACAGCCAGTATTGGGTCAAAGTTGGTGCTGCAGCTGGGCTCTCCGGGAGCAGAGGCTGAAGTGGAGTTACAGGTGCAAGATGTTTATTAGAGACCAACACCTGTGAGGAGAAGGGGGCGGAAGCAGGAGTGAATAGAGGAAGATGTTGAACTGTGATACAGACCCAGTGAATCTTTGGCCGACTTGGTGGGAAGCTCTGGAGCTATGATTGCTCATCAGAGTGTGCCCTGGCTGGCCAAATAGTCCCGCTGGAAGGTCATGGACCTTGGACCAGGTGGCCTCTGTGACAGAGGCAGATCCTGAAGAAGCAGGCAGCAGAGCAGCTCGTTCTTCCTTTAAGGAGGATCGGGGCAGCCCACTCCCTGCTTACCACAGTCAGTAGCAGGAGATTCAAAGTAAAGGGAGAGACAAACTTGAGAACTAGATAGGCAATTCATTGAACTGTAGATCTCATTGAAGCACTTCACTCTGCTTTTTAGCCACTATAACATACACAGACCATTATAGTTCCAGGTACTACACTTAAGGGAGTCATGTTCTAAAACCATGACAGTTGCCACCTGGGACTCTTGAGACACATGAGATGTTGCATTGTTAAAGTGAGTTTCTATGGCAGTGATTCTCAACAATGGGGCACGCGCACTTACAGAAGAGCATTTCAGAAGGTGAGGGGCACCTGTGCTGTTTGCTCAGGCAATCCTAATATGCCTTCCAAAGAATATCACTCCCCAAGAGAATTCCAAGTCTGAAGGAACTTAAAACTATACCATATAAGTTGAGGAAATTCTAATGTTTAGCCTGCAAAAGAAAAGAAGGTGGATTTCAGATGAAATAGGTATGTTAGTGAGACTTCTCAAAATTAAGTAATATATGGATAAAGGAAGAACAGTCAAGGCTGGTATCGCCTGAGATTAATTTCACCATAATGTTAGCAAAATACATAAAACATAAAGCCAAGCATACATTTGAAAAGCAAAAATAAAATATCTATTAGTTAAATACAAAAAAGCCAATAAAAATGCATAACATTAATTTAACGTGGTGGCTGATTCTGCTTTGATGGAACTAAATAACCCTACAGTATGAATATGGTACTGATGCTATAAAGCTATTGTTTTTAGAGTTGGCATGCCACCATGTGCCATGAGATCACTTAATTTTGCCACCACTTCCTTCTATTCAAACTACTACTTAAATTATAGGCTGGTATATAGTTAAATCATTTAATTATATAGCATGAGGCAATGCCATCTGGCATTTATTCAGCTCAAATGCATCACTTCTGAATTAAGCCTGCTCTGTTCTCTTCTCCTTTCCCCAAGTATAAGACATTGATTGATTCTTTTCTCACAAACATCCTTTTTTTTTGGATAGCTGTTCTTTCGCAACTCCTTTGTGCCAATGAGCAGCAAAGCATAGTACCTTACCCTCCAAAGGAGTCCCCACGTGATCTAGAATTGACAAGCAGAACACTCATTCCCTTTGGCCATGTAAATGGGCAAGTGACTCCAGCAGGTGCAATTAGATCCCTTCCGTGGTATTATATACTTGGCTACTGAAAGAATGTAGCTCTTTCTTTCCTTTAAGGTTGCTTCACATGAGTGTTATAAACCTTGTGCTCTAATATGGCCATCCCCACCACACCTCACCCTCAACCCACTTCCACCTCCGGAGGAGGAAGCTTTTCAGTAGCTTCACAAGAGTTGGCTTTGCAGGCCTGCGTGAGCTCAATAGAAGAACTGGCTGACACTGGCTGCTGCGCCCCGGAGGCTCTCTCTTTCCAGAAATGCCAAGTTCTTGAGCAAGGAGCTGCCACCATTACAGCACCACATAGATGTCTCCTATAAAAATGTAGCACACTACTGGGCACGGTGTCTCACGCCTGTAATCCCAACACTTTGGGAGGCCGAGGTGGGCGGGTCACCTGAGGTCGGGAGCTGGAGACCAGCCTGACCAACATGCTGAAACCCCGTCTCTATTAAAAATAATAATAATAAAAAATAATAAAAATTAGCCGGCCGTGGTGGCGCATGCCTGCAATGCTAGCTACTCGGGAGGCTGAGGCAGGAGAATCGCTTGAACCTGGGAGGCGGAGGTTGCGGTGAGCCGAGATCGTGCCATTGCATTCCAGCCTGGGCAACAAGAGCGAAACTCCGTCTCAAAAAAAAAAAACCTAAAGAGCTTCTGCGCAGCAAAAGAAACTACCATCAGAGTGAATAGGCAACCAACAGAACGGGAGAAAATTTTTACAATCTATCCATCTGACAAAGGGCTAGTATCCAGAATCTACAAAGAACTTAAACAAATTTACAAGAAAAAATCAAACAACCCCATCAAAAAGTGGGCAAAGGATATGAACAGACACTTCTCAAAAGAAGACATTTATGCAGCCAACAGACACATGAAAAAATGCTCATCATCACTGGCCATCAGAGAAATGCAAATCAAAACCACAATGAGATACCATCTCACACCAGTTAGAATGGCGATCATTAAAAAGTCAGGAAAAAACATGTGCTGGAGAGGATATGGAGAAATAGGAACACTTTTACACTCCTGATGGGACTGTAAACTAGTTCAACCATTGTGGAAGACAGTGTGGTGATTCCTCAAGGATCTAGAACTAGAAATAGTATTTGACCCAGACATCCCATTACTGGGTATATACCCAAAGGATTATAAATCATGCTGCTATAAAGACACATGCACAGGTATGTTTATTGCGGCACTATTCACAATAGCAAAGACTTGGAACCAACCCAAATGTCCATCAATGATAGACTGGATTAAGAAAATGTGGCACATATACACCATGGAATACTATGCAGCCATAAAAAAGGATGAGTTCTTGTCCTTTGTAGGGACATGGATGAAGCTGGAAACCATCATTCTGAGCAAACTATTGCAAGGACATAAAACCAAACACCACATGTTCTCACTCACAGGTGGGAATTGAACAATGAGAACACTTGGACACAGGGTGGGGAACATCACACACCAGGGCCTCTTGTGGGGTGGGTGGAGGGGGGAGGGATAGCATTAGGAGATACACCTAATGTAAATGACAAGTTAACGGGTGCAGCACACCAACATGGCACATATATACATATGTAACGAACCTGCACGTTGTGCACATGTACCCTAGAACTTAAAGTATAAAAAAAATGTAGCACATTATAGATGTGGAGTCCCTGCATACTGCGTGCATTCTCGCACTGCCTGGCCCTGGCACATCTCTCACCGGGATAAGGAAAGTCTGGGAGACTGGTGTATTCTGTCACTTCTGGCTTGAAAGGTTTTTCCTCAATTAACCATATTTGATCTTTGCAGGACACAGGGCTTGTGGTGTAGGTGTCCCTGTCTCTTTTGCAAAGCAGCTAGTTTGGATTCAGTTTTTATGATTGGCAACGGAGTCCTGACAAATTTAGCCCACGGTAATAAGACCAGCCCTACTCAGCACCACTGCAGTCACAGACCCAAGCGCAAAGCCAAGCCCTGAAAACTGAATGGTAGCACTTGAGGTTAACCGGACCATTCAGACTGTCCAGATATGCATCCCACACAAGCATAGGTCAGATTACCATGCTTTGAAAGTGCATGCACACGCAGGCACATGCAGATGCACACACAATCCTTCAAGAGAACTCAGAGCCCTACGACTATAAATGTGAGCCCGGTTTGAGAAACGCTTGAGCTAAGTAACTAAGAACATGCTGTGCCCGGAGTTGTAATGATGATCCTTTCGTGTTCATCCCAATGACAAAGTCAGGACTTTCCATGAAGCTATCTATACCTTGTAGCTTTTCTATTTTTCTTAGCTCTTTCTGAAGTATAAAAGCTCCAGTTTTAGTTAATAATATTAGTTAAGGAGAATTCTGGTCATATCAAACTAGACATTTTTCAGAAATTCAGTTTATGAAGTTGTAAAGTTATTTGCAACTGTGAGGATATTTGGATGGAGAAAAATATGACCTCTGTTTTTTTTTCTTCAAGAGCAAGAGGACACACTTGTGTTCCTAAAGAAATCTCTTTGAGTTATAATTTTAGAATTTTTAAAGATGGCTCAGGAAGTGTATTGTGGTAGGGGTGGAGGAGCTTTCCAAGAATATACCACAGGTTTAAGTCAGGGTTATGCTAGACTGGCAGAAAATTAATAATTTGGAGCTTCTCCTCAGATATAACCTTAAAGTCAATGTGGGGGATTCTAAGTTAGCACAAGTGTGCCTTTAATATTAGCCTTAAATCTAAAGTTCAGTTATTTGTGGTTATAAGATATTTCAAAATATAGACTTTACAAGAGTGAAAACTATTATCCCAGTTCACCTTGGCCCAGTTCTAAGTTGGGTATATATTTGATAGGAAGCAGGACAATTTAGTAGCAGTAAATACAACTTGGGGCTAGAAGACCACAATTCTAGTTCTGTTCTGCCCCTCATACGGCCATGGACGAGTTAGTTAACTCTAAGTAGGTGATTTCAAAGTGGGGGCATGCATGTGTTTGGGATGACCCCCTGGGGTAAGGAAGGGGAATACCAGAATTTCTAGTTATGTCTATTTTCATTAAATCATTTTAAAAATTTGAGCATGTGGGCCAGGCGCGGTGGCTCACACCTGTAATCCCAGCACTTTGGGAGGCCGAGGTGGGTGGATCACAAGGTCAGGAGATCGAGACCATCCTGGCTAACACGGTGAAACCCCATCTCTACTAAAAATACAAAAAATTAGCTGGGCGTGGTGGTGGGCTCCTGTAGTCCCTGCTACTTGGGAGGCTGAGGCAGGAGAATGGCATGAACCCAGGAGGTGGAGCTTGCAGTGAGCCGAGATCACACCACTGCACTCCAGCCTGGGTGACAGAGCGAGACTCCATCTCAAAAAAATAAAATAAATAAAAAATAAAAATAAAAATAAATTAAAAAAATAAAACTTGGCAGGGTGCGGTGGCTCACGCCTGTAATACCACCACTTTGGGAGGCCAAGGCAGGTGGATTATGAGGTCAGGAGTTCAAAACCAGCCTGGCCAACATGGTGAAACCCCGTCTCTACTAAAAATACAAAAAAAATTAGCCAGGCATGGTGGCAGATGCCTGTAATCCCAGCTACTCGGGACCCTGAGGGAGAGAATTGCTTGAACCCGGGAGGTGGAGGTCGCAGTGAGCTGAGATCATACCACTGCGCTCCAGCCTGGGCGACAGAGCAAGACTCCATCTCAAAATAAATAAATAAATAACAAACTTTAAATTAACCAATTATACAAGCTGATAAAGAAAGGAAGTGAAAGCTACCTACAACTACTGTATTTCAGGCAAAAGAATCTTTGATATATTGTTAATGTTCCCCAGTGACAGCTTAGCCATACCTATCAAAACTTTTATGAATACATCTTTGATTCAGCTATTTTACCTGTAAGATCTCATCTAAACAAATCATAATGTGCACAAAAATTTATCTACAAATATGTTTATGCCAATACCTTGAATAAAATCAGTTATTCATTCCGTGCTTACCATGTGCCGAGTGTTATGCTAAAGTTGTAATATACATTATCTCATTTCATCCTTGTAAAAACCTCATGAGGCACTCTGTTCATAATTTTCATTAGCAAAGAAGACTTGGCCAGGTGCGGTGGCTCACGCCTGTAATACCAGCACTTTGGGAGGCCAAGGTGGACAAATCACCTGAGGTCAGGAGTTCGAGACCAGCCTGGCCAACATGGTGAAACCCCATCTCTACTAAAAATACAAAAATTAGCCAGACGTGGTGGTGGGCGCCTGTAATCCCAGCTACTCGGGAGGCTGAGACAGGAGAATCACTTCAACCCGGGAGATGAAGGTTGCAGTGAGATGAGATCACGCCACTGCACTCCAGCCTGGGGGACAAGAGTGAAATTCTGTCTCAAAAAAAAAAAGAAAAACAAAGAAGACTACTCAGACTTAGCCATTAGGTGAGTTACTCACAAATGCACAATTAGTAAGTTACGGATCCAAGCCATCTATCCCCAGAACCTGATATAACAGCAAAAAGAAAAGGAAAAAACAACCACATAAACAAGAAGTTTTTTAAGTCAGTTATAGCATACAGATTATTGTGAAAGCATTTACTAGTGGCAATGCAAAAAAATAATTAAGAACATTGCAAAAAATGTTTCTAATGTATTTACTAAGTGAAAAAAGACGATGCAAAATATTATGTACTTTGTTATCTTAGTATTGATAAAATACACAATAAAATGTTAATAGAATCTGACTTTAGATGTGGCTATATAGGATTATTACAGATACTTCTCTATACTTTACATTTTCTACAATTATATGTATTACTGTTACTAAAAATAAAATAAACAAATTAGTGAATAAAATGAAAGAAGCATTTATGTCCATAGCTTGGCTCCTGACATGTGTTCTAAAGTGGTATGTACATATTTTACATATGAATGTAAATATGTAGAATGCTGAAGTCCAGTATCTTCATACCCATCTTTTCTCCATATTTTCCTGTACCTCTTTTATTAATATTCAAACATGTATATATTTTTTAAATCTATTATAAATGTTTTATCATTTAAGAAGAAATATATAAACACATTAAAATTCAAAATTCAACAGAAGGGTGCAAAATAAGAAATAAACTGTCCCTTCAATCTCACTCCAGAACACCCATTCCCAAAGGCCACCATCCCTGACCCTTTCTGTTTTTGGTTCTCCTGGTGATTACCTCCAAAGCTCAGATAATATGCTTATGTGTCTCTTAAGCAATTTGCCACCTTCAGATAGCTGATAATTCTTTTGATTCTCCAGTGTGATGGATAAGGAAAATAGCTGATACAAAGTATTGTATTCTTTGTAATCTTAGTTTTCATAAAATATACAACCAAAATGTTAATAAGACCTGTCGCTGGTTGAGGGATTATAGGGAATTTTTATGGTTTTCTTTGTTTATTTCTCTATATTTCAAGTTTTCTACAATCATCCAGTCCAGACAGTTTTATAGGTAATTTCCAATTTAAAAAAATGGGTAATGAAAATGTGAATGTCTTCATCTAAACTTTATAAGCTGAATTGTGAAAAAAAATCTATCTATCTATCTAGAGACAAAACTTCTACAAATCAAATTAGCAATAGACAGAAACACAATTCTTGTAGGAGAATTCAACATATCAATGACATCAAATAGACTTTTTAAAGAAAAATGCTGATCACTTTGACATACTATTATGACACTGATTAGACATGTTTGGGTAAGAGCCAACGTATTTAACAACAGACAAGGACTGGCTACAGAAGCCAGTCCAATTAGCATGATGCCCACTTTAAACAACCAGGACATACTCACCAGATGGGTCAGTCTGAGTTCTGGCTTGAGTCTGGTCATAGGGCTAGAAATGGTGAAAGGAGGTGGGGATACTGCTTACGGGGATCATCACCCCTCTCTGGGGAGGCCATTGTGGTCTCTCCAGGTCAGGAGAGACTCACCTCCTCAGAAAGGGGATGGAAAGCTGCTCCAATTCGTAAAGAGGACTTGGCCTAATTGAGAATTTCAGGAAGTGTAGAGACTAGAGTGAAGTAATCAGAATAAATACCATTTAAATGAAGTGTTGTAAAAACTCAAAGTTAGTGCAAAAGGATCCATAATGAACAAAATATCAACATTTTAAATAAAGACATGAAACCACAGGCCAAGTTTACTTATAGAGGATATGATATAAGAATCCTAAAATAAGATACTGTGGACTTCTATTGGGGGTAGGATGGGATGGAAGTGTAGTTTTGAGGCTTTCTCCCATCCTTTTTAACCCTTACCTCTTAAAAGAACTATAGATTCCTGAGGAAAAGCTATGGGATTGAATCCTAGGCAGTCTTATCTCCCTCAGTCTCCCATTCCTATGGAAACCAATACCAAGGGCTCCTGTGATCTGTGATGTAGGTACCACAGTCACACTCAGCCGGGTGACCTGCCCCTGCACCCAAGGAGTGATCTCCCACCCTGGGCTGGGTCATTCCAGAAGCCTTAACTAGAATGAACAGAATTTGTCCCGTACTGGGGACCAAAGGGGAAAATGCAGGTGACGTTAGCTAAATAAATGTCACGAAGTCATGAAGTATGGCTATAAGGAACAGGCTTTATTGGGGAATGTCCACACCAAAGATCAACAAGAGAAGGCACAAGATCTTCCCTTCTGTCATCATTCCACAGCGAGGTGTACAGGGTCCACAGCGCTAAACGACCGAGATGCTGTGTCCAGGGGAAGACTTCCTCTCCCCACCAGCTACTCTATCTTTTTATAGTGCCGGCATGAGAGTGGTCTTGTATGGGGGATATGTTTACTACCAGAGTTAGACACAAAGCTGTCTGTGCTTTGAAGCTAGGTCTTCAGGGAGTGGTCAACTGCAGGCACCTTGTGGTTTCGAGCTATGGGGAAAGACAGTACCCAGACCTTGAGAGCTCGAGTCCTGGCCACAGTCCCTCCCAGGATGGAAGAGGTGTCTTCAGCTCTGACTGGCTCACAGCCTGACAATCTGGGATTTCAATCATCATTCACTGGATAATCTTGCTGGTTTCTAATAATTAGTTTTCTTTTCCAAAATCATCTTATGTGCATTTACCTGTTTATCTTTTCTGATAAGACTGCTATGATCTGAATGTTTGTGTCCTACCCCCGACTTCTGCAAAATTCCTATGCTGAAACAAGGTGGTGGTGTTAGAAGACAGGGCCTCTGGGAGATGATGAAGTCATGAGGGGCCCACTTTCATGAATGGGATTCGTGCCCTCATGAAAGAGGCCTAGAGAGTTGCCTTGCCCTTTCTACCATGTGAGATTAAAGTGAGAAGATCATCATTTATGAGGAAGTGGCCTTCTCAAGACATTCAATCTGCCAGTGCCTTGATCTTGGACTTTCAGCCTCTGGAACTATAAGAAGTAAATTCTAGGGATTTTTGTTTTGGTTTGTTTGGGTTTGGTTTGTTTTTAGTTTTTTTTTTTTTTTTTTTGAGACGGAGTTTCGCTCTTGTCGCCCAGGCTGAAGTGCAGTGGCGTGATCTCGGCTCACCGCAACCTCCGCCTCCTGGGTTCAAGCGATTCTCCTGCCTCAGCCTCCTGACTAGCTGGGATTACAGGCAGCTGCCACCATGCCCAGTCAATTTTTTGTAATTTTAGTAGAGACGGGGTTTTGCCATGTTGGCCAGGGTGGTCTTGAACTCCTGACCTCAGGAGATCCTCCCTCCTGAGCCTCCCAAAGTGCTGGGATTACTGGTGTGAGCCACTGTGCCCGGCCTTGTTTTGGTTTTGTAGAGATGGAATCTCGCTGAATTGCCCAGGCTGGTCTCAAACTCCTGGCCTCAAGCAATCCTCCTGCATCAGCCTCTGAAAGTGTTGGGATTAAAGGTGTGAGTCTCTACACCAGACCTGTTCTTTATAAACTACCCAGTCCAAGATATTTTATTATAATAGCCTGAATGGACTAAGACAGACTTTAAACAGCATAGCTTTATACCTGGAAAATGCTGAGTATTGTCTGAAAATATTGATATCTTTGTATTATTACAATTCTAATAATAATGTCTTATTTCTGTCAGGTTTTATTGCATTGACTAGAAATTCCAGAACAATGTTAAAGAATAATGGTGAAAAAAAGTATCATTGTTTTGTTTCCCATTTAAACTGGAATGCTCCAGCTTTTACTTTTGTTTTTATTATTATTTTTTTTTAAATGGAGTCTCCCTCTGTCATCCAGGATGAAGTGCAGTGGTGCAATCTCAGCTCACTGCAACCTCCGCCTCCCGGGTTCAAGCAATTCTCCTGCTTCAGCCTCCTGAGTAGCTGGGATTACAGGCGTGTGGCACCACCCGGCTAATTTTTGTATTTTTAGTGGAGACGGGGTTTCACCACGTTGGCCAGGCTGGTCTTGAACTCCTGACCTCAGGTGATCTGCCTGTCTTGGCCTCCCAAAGTGCTGGGATTATAGGCGTGAGCCAGAGCTCCCAGCCTTGTTTTGTTTTTTAGCAGTTTAATGTGAGACTAGCTATTGCTTTAAAATATTCTTTATGTCTAGGGACTATCAGTTGATTAAAGAATTTTCTTTAAATAGAAGAAAGTTTAAAATTGATTGGCTTTTTGCAACATATATATATATATATATATATATTTTTTTTTTTTTTTTTTTTGAGAGGGAGTCTCGCTCTGCTGCCCAGGATGGAGTGCAGTGGCGCGATCTCGGCTCACTGCAACCTCCGCCTCCTGGGTTCTCACCATTCTCCTGCCTCAGCCTCCCAAGTAGCTGGGACCACAGGCGCCCGCCACCACGCCTGGCTAATTTTTTTTTTTTGTATTTTTTAGTAGAGATGGGGTTTCACCATGTTAGCCAGGATGGTCTCGATCTCCTGACCTACTGATCCCAAAGTGCTGGGATTACAGGCGTGAGCCATCGCACCTGGCTACAACATATATTAAATTGATTATATATTATGTGATTTTCTGTTGATATAAGGGTAAAGAAGGAAAAAGAGTGAATGTGAATGTACAGGGCACATGCATATGTAAAGCAGATATTATGCTTGACTATAACCAGGTAGAGTAGGGAAGGCAGAGTCCCTTTTAGATCACAGCCCCACTCACTGTGTGCCCAGCAGTGCCCTGGACTGGAACACTTCTCTGTGGAATGATGAGAGAACAGGGAATCATGTGCTTCCTCTGCTAATCCTTGATTTATATTGTTTCTCCATAAAATGCTTTCTTTAAATTTTACAACATCGTGGCAAATGCCCTGACTTACCTTGCCACAGTAATAAAAAGAGATTTGCCCAAATTTATGCTACAATTATTAAAGCAATGTAGAACTGGTGCTAGAAGAGACTGATGAGTGATTCAGAATATAAAATTCTGAAACAGATCCTAAAATAGATAACTGATATATAGAGTATGATGACGATAGCATCATAATCATCAGGAAAAGGAGGCATTGTTTTATAAAAGGTGCTGAGAAGTGAGAATAAACTAATTATTTGGGAAACTGATGTTGAAATATTTTATCCACTCATTCAATATAATAAGAACAGCTAGATCAATGAATTAAACGAGAAGTCCGAAAATCATAAAAAGGGAATAAATGTAATGTCTATATAGGAAAGAGGTTTTTTGTTTGTTTGTTTGATTTTTGAGACGGAGTCTGGCTTTGTCACCCAGGCTGGAGTGCAGTGGCGCGATCTCGGCTCACTGCAACCTCTGCTCACTGCAACCTCTGCCAGCCGGGATCAAGCCATTCTCCTGACTCAGCCTCCCAAGTTGCTGGGCGCTTGCCACCGCACCCAGTTAATTTTTGTATTTTTAGTGGAGACGGGGTTTCACCATGTTGGCCAGACTGCTCTCGAACTCCTGACCTCAGGTGATCCACCTGCCCTGGCCTCCCAAAGTACTGGGATTACAGGCATGAGCCACCGTGCCTGGCCAGAAAGAGTTTTTTAAGCTAATGCAAAGGAAGATGTCACACAAGAAAGCATAATGAAATTGACTACATAAAGATGTTTCCCTCAAATAGAGCAAAGAATTCCCACAAATCAATAAAAAGTGCTAATATTCCAATGAATAAATGGACAAAGAATATTTATTAATAATACAAATAATAAGCTGCTGTAACAAAATTTTTTTTTTAAATATCGTAAAGAGCATAGAAGTTTCTATCTCTGCCATCTAACTATCCCAGGGAGTGCCCCGGGGCCGCTCCTTTCCTCACAGGCAGAAACCTGGATGACTTCCAGATTGTTGCTTCCCCCTACCATAAGGCATTTTCCCCATCTGCATGGTTGAAGATGGGCTGTGGAGAAATCTGCATAGCCAGTGGGAAGAAAATAGACAGTTCCTCTCCTTCATGTGAGATGAAAGTTGCACACATTGTTTTGTTGAGAATTTGGTGACATATGCACACTCAGCAAGGGAGACTGGGAAATGTGTTGGGTCCTGTGGCCACATGTCTGGCTTTGCTGTTCCCATAAAAGGGGAGAACAGCCATCTCTGCCATTCACTTAAAGGAAATACACATTGTCAATAAACTTGGGGAAAATAGAAAGCCTCATTAGGAAACAAAGAAACATGGGGCTGCTTGCAGTGGCTCATTCCTGAAATCCTAGAACTTTAGGAGGCCATGGTGGGAGAACTGCTCAAGCCTAGGAGTTCAAGACCAGCCTCGGCAACTTAGAAAGACCTTGTTTCTAGAAAAAATTTAAAAAGTTAACCAGATATGGTTTTGTGTATCTGTAGTCCCAACTACTTGGGAGGCTGAGGTGGGAGGATTGCTTGAATCCAGGAGTTCGAGGCTGCAGTGAGCTATGATTGTACCACTGCACACCAGCCTGAGTGACAGAGGGAGACCCCACCTAAAAAAAAAAAAAACACACAAATAAATAAAAAAAACCCATGAATTAAAGTTAACATAAGACTTTTCATCCATCAAATAAGCAAAGATTCTTTAAGATCAGAATGCACTGTGCTGATGAGTGGCAGATGTGGCACTGATAGGTTGCCTATGGGGGATGCAGATGTAAATTGGTATAGACTTCCTTGAAAGCGATTTGGCAATATAGCCAAGACCCTTTAAATATTCGCATCTTGGAGTAATAGGCAAACGTATCCACATAAGTGGGTGATATAGAAAATTCAAGACCAGAACACAGTATATATGGGTATTATATTAATAATGCTAACTTTTATTGAAGGTTTACTATGAAGCAGACTCACTGCTGAGTACCCTGCATGTATTACCTAATTTATCCTAGAACTGGGCTTATGAGATACTGTATTATCCCATTTTACAGATGTGGATATAGCTTCAGACAGGTCAAGTCACTTGCATACGATCACAATTCACAGGTGGTTGAATTGTGAGTCAAATCCAGGTCTTCCTGACATCAGAGCTCTAGCTATTTATAAAGATAACATTTTAAATTACCAGGGAAAATGATGGTTTTTAATACACAGTATTAGGAAGACTGGGCTTTCCATTTAGAACAAAATCATCTCTTAGACTGATGATTTATAATCATCTTCAGGTTATGAACCATTTAAAGAATCTGATGAGAGATATTGATCCTCTTCACACATTCTCTCTCTCTCTGCATATAGGCAAGTGTGCGTGTGTGTGTGTGTGTGTGTGTGTCTGTGTGTGTGTGTGTGTGTAGTCTTCCATGCAGTTCTGATGGATTTTGGAGCCAAAAAGCCATGAACTTGAAAATAACCCTAAATGATAAGCTATATTCATATCAACATAAATTTATGGTGGATTAAAACTTTAAATCTAAAATTTAAATATAAATGTCATCTTTGTGTGAATATAGATAAGGTATCCTAATCTCCAGCCTTTGTTTCTTAGTCTGGAAAAAAAACTGGGAGTAATGATATTTGGCACAAAGTTTTGTCATGATTAGACAATCACGAAGATAGCTGGGCGCAGTGGCTCATGCCTGTAATCCCAGCATTTTGGGAGGCCAAGGCTGGCAGATCATGAGGTCAGGAGATCGAGACCACCCTGGCCAACATGGTGAAACCCCATCTCTACTAAACTTACAAAAAATTAGCCGGATGTGGTGGCAGGCACCTGTAGTCCCAGCTACTTGGGAAGCTGAGGCAGGAGAATGGCGCAAACCTGGGCGGTGGAGCTTGCAGTGAGCCGAGATTGTGCCACTGCACTCCAGCCTAGGCTACAGAGTGAGACTCTGTCTCAAAAAAAAAAAAAAAAAAGAAAAAAAGGAAAAGAAAATAAATCATGAAGACTAAATGGGAAAATACACACACAGTATTTCACAGGATCTGGTACATTAAAAAATACTCGGTGAAATTGAATCCTCTCTCTCTCTCTCTTTCTCTTTCTTATTCTCCCCATCTCTGTATATGGTTGACCCTAAAACAATGTGGAGGTTAAGGGTGCCGACCTCCTGCCCAGTGGCTAATTTGCATGTAATTTTTGACTCTTCAAAAACTTAACTACTAATAGCCTACTATTAGTAGTAGTTGACCAGAAGCCTTACAGATAACATAAACTGTCAACTAACATATATTTTGTATCTTATATGTATTATATACTGCATTCTTACAATAAAGTAAGCTAGAAAAAGGAAAATGTTATTAAGAAAATAAGGAAGAGAAAATAGATTTACTTTCATTAAGTGGAAGTGGATCATCATCAAGGTCTTCATCCTGGGTGTCTTCACATTGAGTAGGCTGAGGAGGAGGAGGTGGTCTTGCTATCCAGGGGTGGCAGAAGTGGAAGAAAATCTGTGTATAAGTGAACCAGTGCAGTTAAAACCCTTCAAGAGTCAGCTGTATACACACACACACACACACACACACACCCCTATATATACACACACACATATGTATGTAGATATATTACATACAGATTTTAAGTAGATATATGCATTTGTGAAAAAAGTTTCATAAATTTGGAGGTGTTAATAATTTTCTCATCATGTCACCAAAACAGGCACCTGAAGGGAAAAGATAAATAGATTTAATTAATTTTAAATGTAAAATTTTTATTTCTTAAGAACTTACTACACGAATACATTCACTTTTTCATTCAACAAATATTTATTGAACATCAACTGTCTTCCAAGCACTGTTCTAGATACTGGGGACACCGCTGTCAACCAAACAAACCCAAATCCCTGCCTTTGTGGAGCTGATACTTTGGTGGATGGCTAAGACTCACCTGGAACTTACTGAAATGGGAGTTCCCCGCACCCACCTCGCAGGACATGTGACAGGGGTGTGGCTGTAGGTTTGGCTGCCTGGAGCTCAATCCCCTTACGGGAGGGGATGCATGCAGACAGGCAGGTGCAGGAACCAGGCAAGTGCTTTTGGGCTCCGGCGCCAAGGCAGCATTCAGGGGTGGGTGTCTGCGACTCCCAAAGCCCAAGTCGGTGCATCTTACAGTGCACTCTCTTAGATTTGCCGTCCCCGGGTGGCTTAAGGGTGAACCAGTTCAGTGGACCCTTTGCCTTTTTTGCAGGGACAGGGGGCCAGTGTGATAACTTTCTGTACCCTGAGCTCTGTACAGAGTCCCAGTCACACATGGACTTGAAGGATGAATGTGGGGGTTTTATTGATTGGTGGAGGTGGTTCACAGTGGGATGGAATGGGAGCTGGACAGGGGATGGAGTGGGAAGATGATCTTCCCCTGCAGTTTGGCCGTCCAGCAGCCGATTCTCTGACTGTCCCCAGCCGAACTCCTCCGGATGTTCCTTCTTTTCGCTCCTTCTCTGCCGCGCTGTTCTGCCGTTTGTCTTGTCTTCCTCGTCTGCTTCTGGAGCGTGGGGTTCAGGGTTTATATGGGTACAGGATAGGGGGCATGGTGGGACAAAAGGCAACTTTTTGAGCGCAAAAACAGGAATGCTTGTTCTCACTTAGGGCCGCGGGTATCCAGGCTTGAGGGTAGGGCCTTTGCCAGGGAACCACCCTCTTCTACCCAGTGTTTCCCTGTCTCCTGTCCATATCATTTCCATGAGCACAGCAGGGTTGCTCACTGATTCAACCCTGGAAGAAGCATCTTACTGGTGAGGAAACTGGCGAGGTAACAGTACCCAGGGAAGGGGACGAAGGGCAAATTTTTGTGTTTCGTCTTTCGAGCCTACTGAGGAAGAAATTCTCAAGCACCAGAGCAAGGGCTTAAATGATGGGAAGGGTGGCAGAGAGGATTGTAAGCCAGGGGAGGGGACACAGTGGGAAGTCGGCTAGAGATGCCAAACAGGGCACAAAAGGGACAGGCAGAGCCAATGAGAGGGTGCAGAGCTGATTACCGGGTCCAAGCTGCATGTGCAGGAACAGCCAAGTCCCTGTATGTTGGGGCCAGGTGGAAATCAATTTGCAATGGCTATTTCCCACGTATTATTTCTGGAAGCATGTTTTGGGGCAGTACCGCTGGGATGGAGAAAGGGCTCAGGTCAGGATGATGCCATCCACTCCTGGATCATAAACTTGGATCTCAGAGAGTTTCATGTACTTTGGGGATGTGTAAACTACTTACTTGTTATGGGAATTATGTCTGTAGAAGATGGAAAAAACATTATGTGAGCCTTAATGAGTTTGGTTATATAGGAGTGTGATTTCTATCTCATAAATAATAAACAATCCCCTCAATATGCTAATTCCAACTCTCTTTCAATTACTCATGTTAATCTTGCAAAGAAAATAATCAAGAAAAATATGGAAAATGCCATCTCCCTGTTGGAATGAAACATCTCCTAGATGAGACAGCATCTCTGCTCCAAGGTTTGGAAGCTTATTAGCTGTATCTGACTCATTGGTTCTTCTATGTCGACAATCCCTCCTTCAAAATCTAATCAATGTTAAAATGAAACCTGAATTTAATTGAATAACACATGTCTGTTCTAATAAGATTTGTTGAATTTGAAGTGGAATAAAAGAACCAAGTTTGAAACTAAGAAAAAAACTGAAAAATTATTCCCATCTGCAATAGTCACTTTTTTTTTTTTTTTCGAGATGGAGTTTCACTCTTGTTTCCCAGGTTGGAGTGCAGTGGTGGTATCTCAGCTCACTGCAACCTCTGCCTCCCAGGTTCAAGAGATTCTTCTGCCTCAGCCTCCTGAGTAGCTGGGATTACAGGCGCCTGCCACCACGCCCGGCTAATTTTTTTGTATTATTAGTAGAGACGGGGTTTCATCATGTTGGTCAGGCTGGTCAGTCACATATATTTATTGATATTTTTTACTGTGATATCTTTTAAAAGAAAAACTACCAATGTGTATGGGGAGTAGGTCACCTTTTTCATGTCACATAGAAGGCGATTTAGACAGATGAATAGGAAATCAGTAGGTCCTATGTAACTTTATTTCCCAAGTATTTTACTAGATCTTCTTTTCTTCCTTCCTGATGTTCCTGCCTGAGATAAAATCTAACTCCCATGCATTGCTCTCATGATCAGACTCCCTTCCTCCTTTCCAAACTAGGCCTCAGCCATTGGATTCACTGCGCTCACCCTGGGGTGCGGGCACACTGAATCCTTGTAGTTCCTTGAACAGCATTTGCTCTCATATCCTGTACATCTTTGCACACACTGTGTTTTTCCCCCTGAAATTTTCACCTACCTTCCCCTCCCTGTCTATCTCATAAGCACAGTTAGGAAGATGCTAACTTTGGAGCTGGATGGTCTCTGTTCAAATCCCTGCTTTGTTACTTCCTAGGTATATAAGCTTAGGCAAGTTCATCTATCTGTGTAGGCCTCATTTTTCTTATCTGGAAATGAGGATAATATGAGTATTTAATTTCATGAAGTTGCTATGAGAGTTAAATGAGACAATGCATGTGATTGGCATTATATATAATATGTTCTAAATACTCAATATTGTTTTAGCCATAATTATGGTTACAAGTATTATTACCATTTGCTCATAACAATTCTATTTATCCTCTCCATGTGGCAATCCTCTTTGCTGGGGGTGCAGGGTCAGAGATTCATGGGGAAGGGTTGTTGGTAACAACAATGATCAGTGCCACTGCCTAGTTCCTATGGGTAGCTCAGGAAATCCTAGAGATGTGGAGATAATTTTGGTGATGAGATGGCAGCTGATGACAGGCTCTTCTGTCTTTCACTATGTTTGTTTATAAGACGAAGCCAGAACGTTGGTTCCCATGCTCCTTGGGAGCAATGAACACCAAAGAAGCAATGAATATATGGCACTGAGTGGAATATGTCCGGACTGAGAGTGAGGAACTTGGGTCTCTAGCTTTAACTCTGCCATTAATCAGTTATCTTTGGGCAAGTGACATCAACTCCCTGGGCCCAGATCTTATTTAAAAAACAAAACAAAACAAAAGAGGACTGCATTCTGCCATCTCTAAGTACCTTTCCAACTCTGGCATTCTGGGATTCTACGCTGGGAAACTCACTCTGTATTTGCTGTTTGTAGGCTCATGAAGTATCATGGTGTGTGCCAAGTCAGGACCCTGCTCCATATGGTATATGGAGAGGCCAGGCAGTGCCACAGTATCCAATATCATAACTAGAAATGGGCCTGGAAATTCTGAGGCATATGGTTTCCCTGCCGTGTTTCTGAATCTTATTGCTATGTTTTCTTTTGTTTTGTTTTGAGTATTACTTACTATGTAAGATAGAAAGAGAATCTTTTTCAATGCACATGGTTAAATAAATAAGACCTTTTAAAATCATGCTAATGGGAGATCAATAGCATATTATCCCCTCATAGAAGTTGCTAAAGTCTAACAAAGAGTCTACAGGAGAGTGTCAGTATCTTTGTTATTTAAATCAGTCTCTTTTACTTTTTATCCACCTGGCAGTGCATTCTCGGAAAGGGCAATACAAATGTTTTATTGTGTTGTTTAAGATGCAATGGGCCAAACAAACAAATAACAACAAATGACCTATACGAACATTCCCAACAAGTCATTAAACTACATTTCTTGATGCGTACAGAAGGTTTAGGAAACATAAATTTGCTGTCTGAGATCCCTGATGTACGTCTTGGCTCTAACACAGATGAGCAAGAAGTCAAAAATAGAAACCACTTTGAAGAAACTCTGGGGCCCTAAATGCAAGTCCCCTTGTAAGATGTCTTTATTAACGCAAAAAATCCTCCAAGCTTCCTCCCCTACAGTCATGACAGATGCCTTTGAAAGTCTCCCCACAGTGGCAAGACTTCTGAAAATTTCTTCCTGCACTTTGTGGAGTTTACAAAAACTATGCGAGTAACCTCCACTGCATTTGTCAAGCAAGAAGTAATTGAAAACAGCAGGTAGTTGTGCCTTAGTCACTAAAAGAAGTCTGCCAATTGATGCATGGGGTGCTGAGGCTGGGAGCTCCCATTAGAGCTCCTGGGTGGTATTTAGGTTCAGTAAATCCCCTGTGTGTCTGGGTAACTGGATCCCTAAATCTTGAGACTATTTTCATCCACTAAGAAGAGAATTGGAGTAGTATGGAATCTACTAAAAAAACTTGCTTTGTTTCTAGATATTTATTAAATGAAACATTGTAAGTATGATTTTGAAACGTCTTATGTAGCCATGTACATTGAAAAAACATCCTCTTTCTGTGGTAGGTGGTGAGATTAAAAACAAAACAAAACAAAAGAAAATATAGCAGTAAGATTCAGAAACATGGCAGGGAAACCATATGTCTCAGAATTTCCAGGCCAGTCCTATTTCCAATTACGATATTATACTGTGGTCCCCAAATTCTTATAATGTTCAAGAAATCCTAATAGCATCTAGACAGTATAATTTAGACTGCCTCTTATGTACAAAAAAAGATATACAAAATCCTTGTTCAACCTGATCTGTGTTTCAGAAAATATAAAGTATCTTAACACTATAGTGTTAAGCATCGGATAGTCTCCTAAAGGTGTTGGTCAGAAGAATTGAACCATAACCTGGATGGATCTATTTAAAGATAGATCAGATGAGAGGCAAGAGGTGACTAAAGAAATTAAAATTTAATTCTTAGCAGAAAAGTTGAAAGTCTTTGCCATACTTAATCTACAGTAGAAAATATTAAGATATGTAATAATTTCCACAAGAAATATTATTGACAATGAAACCTGTAATATATATTATTTACTTGACATTTGGTGAGAGTTGGCATACCACACCCAATAATGGATTTGTGCAAATTCATTCACATGCTCTTGAGCTGCATGCTTTGTGTGTCCAGCAGTATGTAAGTGCTCCCACAGTGAATGGAGAGAAGAGCACAAGCAAAGGCATGGAAGCTGGACACACCCTGTGCCTTCTGAGAGCCTCAAGAGTGCTGGCTGGCATTGTCAGGGCATGGCGGGGATAAGAAGCTACAGTAGGAGCTGAGGCTGGAAGGGCTGACAAAGTTCAGATCACGTAGAGACCTCTGCCCTTTGTGACCATCTGTATACCATGAGGTGGTAGCTGAGGGATAGATTCTCTGACTCTGGAACAGATATAGATGTGCTGGCTTCCAGATGCTGCTCACTTCAGCTTTACAGATATATTATATTGGTGGTGAGTCTCCCTTCACATCTAAGTGTAGAAAAGGAATTATGGAATTGACCACCACACAAAAAAATAGGCTAAGTGTTAGGAAGACATTCTTGGCTCGAGCAATAGCAAAATGCAATTTTAAATAAGTTCTTTTTTTTTTTAGAGAGAGTACAATTGTCCATCAAGCAGGAGGATGGAGAAAACAATTTTGTGGATGACTTTCTCACCCTGTGCTGTTATGCTATTTTGAAGCAGAATAATTACAACTGGGAACAAAGTTTGCTTAACAAATGGCAGTTATTGAAACATTGCCTCTTTTTCCGTGGCTTCTTTTGTTGAGAAAGTTCAGCCAGAATCAAACTCAAGAGGGAAGGATCCTGGAAGATATGTGGATCCAAGCACTGATGGAGTTGAAGAACTAATAACATATTATGGGCTTCTGCTAGACTAGAGGGTGTTTGTTTGTTTGTTTGTTTGTTTGTTTGAAACGGAGTCTCCCTCTGTCGCCCAGGCTGGAGTGCAGTGGTGCGATCTCAGCTCACTGCAACCTCCGCCTCCCGGGTTCAAGTGATTCTCCTGCCTCAGCCTCCTGAGATTACAGGGACTACTGGGATTACAGATGCCCACCACTTTGCCCGGCTAATTTTTGTATTTTCAGTAGAGATGGGGTTTAGCCATGTTGGCCCGGCTGGTCTCGAACTCCTGGCCTCAGGTGATCTGTCTGCCTGGGCCTCCCAAAGTGCTGAGATTACAGGCGTGAGCTACCACACCCAGCCTAGACTAGAGTTATTTAAGGAACAAACGCTCCTATGAACCCAGTCCAATAGGAAGATCACGTCTTATTCTGGCTGTGGGCCAACGTTGTAAATATGGTGCTAGAAATGCTTATGAGAGCACATTTCAGTCAACTCCTCATGTCTAACATAAACAACGCTTTAGGCCAAGGTCGCTAACCTTCTCAAATGGGGTATGCATTTTCCTAAAAATACAATATTCAAAGATGTAACTATCATTTGTGATTTTTTTCTTAAAACTAGCTTTTTTCTTTCAGATTTTAGAATAGCTCTCTCCAACGTCTCATTTGTCCCAAAGCCTGTTGCATAATTCTAATGACTTATGACTTTCAGAAGTCTTCCAAGACTTATGACTCAGAGGTGTGCCTGGGGTTGGTGGTGCAGAGTTCTTACTTCCTGTAGGCCGGCACCAAGTGCTCCCGGCAGATCTACCTTTACAAAGAAGCAGATGCCAAAACCTTGCCCCTCTTGCCCCTCGGGCTGTGCCTGATCACTCAGTGCCATCTGGCCACATTGCTGTGGAGGGAATGCTCTTGGTAACTGTTATTGCTGCCTGGTTATGCGTTGGCACTTTACAACAGTACAGGGAGCTGAGCAAAGCAACAAGCCGTCTCAAAAAAACTAATTTCACTAAATCTCCTTACAATACACGTATGAAAACTTTTTAGAGCTTTTTGGAAGGAAAAATAGATTCAAACTTCATTACATGTGTCAGGAAAAAGCAAAAGTGATGCCTATATTGCAGAAAATGAGCTGTGGTCACTGTTTTTTGCCATTTAGGACCTGTGTTACTGATAGAAGAAATGAAAACCCTCTGGACCCAATAAGATGTTGGGTCTTTCCTTTCTGTTCTCTTCTTGCTCCTCTGCCCAGACCCTCTGACATCTTGCCCAAGTTGACAAACACAAATAGGACTGGCCTTCCAGAACCCTCAAAATGGCCACCTCTTCCCACCTCTTCTTGAACTCTCCAAGTTACAAGTCACTGCTCCTTCTCTTGAACTCCAGGATCTCTCTGTCTGAACTTTCTATCTGACTTTAGAATTAGCATTTGTAACTCCTCTTTTAGATAATTTGCTTATTGACGCTGTGGTCTGGACTGTGTTTGATTCATTTGTACTTTCTCAGTTCCCAAGTACTCAGTGAAATACTGGTGAAACAATTTCCCAGGACTGTGACATTCTATTTGTGGGTGCCCTTTAAGTAAACTGTTGGAGAAAAGCAAAAGGAAAAATACATGATCTCACGCAAACAGGGTCCTCACCTGCCAAGAAGCTGTTTTGTGTTCTCTTGTTAGAATAATTTATCTAAGTTTAAGAGCAAGGATTTTTTTTTTTCTCTTGGGCAAAGTATGCACATGGCTGCTGCAGCAACAGCTCAAATAGACCCTGGCTTCCTGCTGAGGGCCAGAGGGGAAGACAGGGAGAGCACGTCTGGAGGAATCACCCAGCTGGGTGCCCAGACATAGCCACCTGCCTCCTGCCCCATGTCGAGGTGATGTGTCACCACACTGGAGACGGCTGATTTGGGTCACACCGCATTGCAGGCCCCAGATTGGAAACTGTAACCAGAAGAGCATGACATTTTAAAATATCAGTAGCACATCGGGTAAATGATTAAACCTCCCAAACAAGGAGTGTTTTTCTCCACGTCTACTCCAACACAGACTCATCTTCAGACCACTTCACATTAAGCAGTAAGTAGAAAAGAACTTGTCATGGGCAAGAAGACAGAATAAAACCTTACAAAGAGAAAGGGAGAGGGGGAAAACGATAATTTAAAAAGGAATTTTAAGGGGATGGCTGGAGCCGATACCCGCCCTTCCACGTTAGACACTCCTCTGACCCCATCAGTCCTCACTTCTTGTTTTCCAAAACCGTGCTTCATGAGAACAAGATTCCTTTTCCATTCATTTTTTTTTTTTTTTTTTTTTTTTTTGTAGAGATAGGATCTCGCTATATTGCCTAGGCTGGTCTCAAACTCCTGGTCTCAAGTGATCCTCCTGCCTCAGTCTCCCAAAGTACTGGGATTACAAGCGTGAGCCATTGGGCCCCGCCTAGATTAGTTTTTATTATAACGTAATTTTTGGTGTGAATTTCACCATTTCCTATGTTCAGAATGTAGTTTCCCCATCTAGGAAGTGGGATAGTAAAAAATTCCTTTTACCAATGTCACAGACGTGGCTCTAGCTCAGTGCAAAAGGGATGTTAACTCTTCCAGGCCTCAGGGTGCCAGTAAGTGAGTTACTTAAGAGTACTTAAGGGCATCCTGACAGCCTGATAGTTTTCCAAAAGAGGTACTGCATTCTCGGGAAAACCCTTCTCATTCCGTTTTAGTTAACAGAAACATTTTTATGGAAAGATCAATTTCACCTTGAGATTTAGAAGAGTGCTCCCTGTGACTACAGAAGGCAGCTCTCCCGGGTATTCATAGGGCCCTTAAGTTAACGTGTTACTTGGGTAGCAAATGAAGCACAATGGCTGAGGTCACAATGTCCTGTTTCCATTAGTTAATTTCCTAGAGGTTCAAAGTAAAGTCATTCGTTAATTGGTGCTCATTAAGTGACCTAAAAGAGTAGGTGCTGCTTCTGCAAAGGTCAACTTAACTCCCACAGTGCAAATTGCACACAGGATAAAATCTGAGGCAAACTGATATCCCCAGTCTTGGAGAAGTGGGAAATACTGTGGACTTGGTATTTTCTGCCTCAGCAGGCTTTACGACAGGTGTTCCGGCACTCAGGAATTCACTAGTGATGTTGTTTAAGCTATTTGAAAGCAAAGTGTTTCTTCCCCCAGTCAGCCTATTGGATGGTGCTCAAGCTGGGTGGTGCTAAGGCAGATTGAACACCCATGTGCAGTATGTTATTGCTGCAACAATTACAACAAACCATTTGTCTGTAAAAGTGCCTTCTGTTGTTATTAGGTCATTAACCTTAACTGTATCAATGTGTTCCCAGTTATGTAACTGTACTAGCAGGTCTGAATATCCCACTATGGAAGAAAATGCTCACACTTCATGCCTCGTTGGTGCCTAAGAAAAGCTCCAATCCTAATAACCCAGTCCCAGTGCTTAGAACTACCCAAGGTGCTATAAAAAGGGTGGAGGGAAAGCTGTAAAACCCACAATCAATAAAACAGAAATTTAACAGGGAACTGCAAACACAGATCTTGCCAGAATAAGCCCCAAAGTTCAATTGCTTTGTTTGAAGACTTAAAAAGCAAAAATAAACCTAAAAATTAAACCAGATGAAACCACCAAACAGGGACCTCAAACACACTCAGTCTTAGTCCATTCCAGTTTCAAATTGGCCATTGTCCCCAGATTACTTTTTCGAAACTTTAACCAAGATCAATGACTGTAAGCCAAGCTCTTAACAAGGGTGCTTTTCTCCTGATTTTGGTTGACACTGTTGCAAAAACAGACAATAATGCTATTTGGCAAATTGGCAACAACATTTAAGAATCAGTTTTAACAAGGAGCAGTCTGGTAAATTGTTAAATACCTCATTACCTAAAATGAGAAGGGAGAAGCCTTGGGTTATAAATGTATCTTTGCCTTCTTGGATAAGGTAACTAGATATTTACAGTTATGGAGCAGGTAGGCAGATTAAATGACAGTGTAATCACATTTTAAGATTATGTAACAATGTAAAGCATTTTGAAGTCAGTGATTCTTTTTTGTTCTTGAACTTTCTATGTTTCAACTTCCTGAAACAGAAAAATAGAGATTGAGGAGGAAAGGCATGCTATTGATCACATGGCCTCTCTGAACTTCGGTGTTTCCAACATAATAAAAAGAGGTAATCCCAAATCTTTTCTAGTCTTTTATTTTTAAAGTTCTCCAAGCATTGTCTTTAAAGGCAATGACAGAAGCAAACAGGCAAATTTTCAAATAAACCAAATCCTTATCCTAAATTCCTTTTTCTCGAATCTAAAGTCACTCATCTGCCTTGATATTTGACTCACAACAGAGGTCCCCACTTGTTGATTTCAGGGTCACTTAAGAATTTTTGAAGGAATATTGCTACAGAAACAGCAGGGGTTTGGTCTGGGTCCTGCTGCTTGCTGCACAGAAAGCCTATGACTGAGACAATGATTTTGCCAAGGAAGAAGGCTTTAATTGGGTGCTGCAGGCAAGAGATGAGAGCTCAGTCTCAAATCCATCTCCCTGAGCAGCTAAACTGAGTGATTTATATAGCAGAGAAGAATGTATCAATGTGTAAGAAAACAAGAACTAGGGAGGGGCAAGGAAGCAGTCATGATGAGTCTGGGGTCTGGCATCTCATTGTCTGGATGTGGTGATGTGGTGAGTTTCAATTCTTTGATACTTTTTTTCTTTCTCTTTTTTTTTTTTTTTGAGAGGACTGAAGACCATTTCCTGAGGAAGGAACTCAGATAAATCAAACATTAAGTTTCAAGCTTTAAGAACATAAGGGTGGATTTCTATGTCTATCAAAAAAAAAAAAACAACATCTATGGGACTATTGGGTCAGTTTCAATATGAGAGGTAAAAAGATATAAGAAGCTATATGAGCTGAGGAGGAGACCTCACCTTAGGAGATAGTGGATTAAAGCAAGGTACCTCTCTCGAAGAGTATTGCAAGTGTTTTAATTTTTTTCCTCTGGAAATACCTCATCAGCTTGATGGCAGAACACGAAAAGTTACTAGAGCTTATACAGAAAAAAAGAAGGGGAGAGGAAAGCTTTTTGGGGAAGATAGCTTTAAGATTGAGGGTTGTTTTTGAAGCCACCCACTGGCTTAATGACAATTGTCAGAAACATATGAAAGAACAGTAAGACTTCTAGCCTAGGGTATTCAGGAAGTTAATAGTTTTGCTTTTTAATCTCATCTCTCCCAGCGAGATGAGAAGTGTAGTTCCAGACCAGGAAACCTAGTCAGAACAGAGCTGTTTGATTCTGAGATGAACAGAATCTATGTTGTTATCTCCACCTTTTATCTTCATCACAATACATTTGACCCTTGAACAAGTTGGGGGTTATAGACAACAGCCCACCACACCTCCCACAATAGAAAGTCCACATATAAATTTTGAATCCCCCAAAATTTAAGTACTAATAGCCTACTGTTGACTGGAAGCTTTATCGATAACATAAATAGTCAGTTAACACATATTTTGTATGATATATGTATTACATACTACATTCTTTTTTTTTTTTTTTTTTTTTTTTTGAGATGGAGTCTCCCTGTATTGCCCAGGCTGGAGTGCAGTGGCACCATCTCAGCTCACTGCAAGCTCTGCCTCCTGGGTTCACGCCATTTTCCTGCCTCAGCCTCCCAAGTAGCTGGGACTACAGGTGCGTGCCACCACACTCGGCTAATTTTTGTATTTTTAGTAGAGACACGGTTTCACCATGTTAGCCAGGATGGTTTCGATCTCCTGACCTCGTGATCCACCAGCCTAGGCCTCCCAAAGTGCTGGGATTACAGCTGTGAGCCACTGCGCCCGGCCACATACTACATTCTTATAATAAAGTAAGTTAGAGAAAAGAAAATCATAAGGAAGAGAAAACATATTTAATATTCATTGAGAGTAAGTAGATCATTATTAAGGTCTTCATCTTCATTGTCTTCACATTGAGTAGGCTGAGGAAGAGGAAGAAGGATGGGTTGGTCTTGTGGTCTCAGGGGTGACAGAGATGGAAGAAAGTCTGCATATAGGTGAGCCCGTATAGTTTAAGCCCTTGTTGTCCAAGAGTCAACTGTATATTATCTTATTTCTTCTTAAACTTCTCTTTATCTCTATTTTAATTCTTGATGCTATATGTTTAGTTTTTCTCTCCTTTTGTTAATAAATCTTTAAAACTTAAGAATGTTATATTTTTAACATAGTAATGGAAAGATAATTTTTTCGTATATAAAAAATTAGAAAGTTATTCTTTTGTGATAATCCTTGATTTTCTTGCTAACCAACATATACAATGATACTCCTTGACTGTAGTCTCCATTGATCTAAATCTGATTTGTAGAGGGAACTGGATAGAGAAGAGTTCTAGAATTTCTGCACACTTTCTTTGGCAGCTGGCTGGGATAGCAAATAGTAGGGTAAAGAAGGTAAAGAAACAGGTATGTCAGACTTAAGCCAACAGAGCCAGTAGGGCCAAATGCCCATTTATAGGTGAAGACCCAGCTGTCACGAAGTTTCCAACTGCTCCATTGCACAATGATGGTATGGATAACAGTGTGTGTTTCTCATACATTTAAATGTATTCAAGTTAAAGAATTGTTTTTTGTAAATACCTATCATGTTAAAATGTCCTTCCATTTATGAACCAATGATAGTAGATGATTTTTATTCTTCCATGTGATTTTAGGATAAAGAAATTGGGCAATCCAATGTTAGTTGCCAGAATTATCATGTGAAATCTTACTCTTCTAGAATCTAAAATATTAGAAGCACTGCGATAGTGAGATATGGGGAGTAACATAGCCAGAGACAGGGAGTAACATAGCCAGATATGGGGAGAGTAACATAGCCAGATATGGGGAGAGTAACATAGCCAGATATGGGAGAGTAACATAGCCAGGTATGGGGGAGTAACATAGCCAGAGATGAAGAGTAACATAGCCAAATATAGAGAGTAACATAGCCAGAGATGGGGAATAACAAAGCCAGATATGGCAGGAGTCACATAACTACATATGGGGGAGTAACATAGCCAGGTATAAGGAAACTAACATAGCCAAAGATAGGAAATAACATAGCCAGATATGAGGAAAGTAACATAGCCATATATGAGGGGAGTAACACAGCCAAATATATTGGGAATAACAACCAGAGACAGGGGGTAACATAGCCAGATATGGGGAAAGGAACATAGCCATGTATGGGGGAGTAACATAGCGAGATAGGGGGAGAGTAACATAATCACATATGGGGGAGTAACAAAGCCAGGTATAGGGAAAGTAACATAGCTATAGACTGGGGTTAACATAGCCAGATATAGGGGGAATAACATAGTCAGATACACAGAAAGTAACATAGCCAACGACAGAGATTAACATAGCCAGAGATGGGGAGTAACATAGCCAGATATGGGGGTAGGAACATAATCACTTATGGGCAAGTAACATAGCCAGACACAGAGAAAGTAAAATAGTCAGTGATGGGGAATAACATAGCCAGAGACGGGAAGAAACAGCCAGATATGAGGGGAGTAACGCAGTCAGATATAAGGAAAGTAACATAGCCAGAGATGGGGAGTAACATAGCCAAATATCAAGGGAGTAACATAGCGAGAGATTGAGAGTAATGTAGCAAGATATGGAGAGTGTAATATAGCCACATATAGGAAAGTAACATAGCCAGAGAAGGGAAGTAAGATAGCCAGATATGAGGGGAGAAACATAGCCAAATATACAGAGAGTAACATAGCCAGATATAGAGGGAGTCACATAACCACATATGGGAGACTGACATAGCCAAATATATGGAAATTAACAGAGCCAGAGATGGGGGAGAAACATAGCCAGTAATGAGGAAAGCAACATAGCCATATATGATGGGAGTAACATAGCCAAATACAGAGGAAGTAAAATAAGCAGAGATGAAGCGTAACATAGCCAGATGTAGGGAGAGTATCATAGCCACATATGGAAAAGTAGCATAGCCAGAGATGGGGAGTAACACAGCCAGATATGGGGAGAGTAACATAGCCACATATGGAGGAGTAACATAGCCACATTTGGATAAGTTACATGGCCAGATACCGGGAGAGTAACATAACCATATATGGGAGGAGTAACATAGCTATAGTAGCCAGATTTAGGGGGAGTAATGTAGCCAGACATAGGAAAAGTAACATAGCCAGAGAAAGGGAGTAACACAGCGAGATATGAGAAGACTAACATAGCCATATATGGGGGAGTAACATAGCTATGTAAGAGGGGAGTAACCTTGCCAGATATGGGGAGAGTAACAGCCACATATGGGAAAGTAGCATAGCCATATACGAGGGGAGTAAAAGCACCAGATATGGGGAGTGTAACATAGGCATGCATGAAAAAGTAACATAGCTGGATATGAGGGGAGTAACATAGCCAGATATGGGGAGAGTAATATAGCCACATATGGGGGAGTAACATAGCCAGATATAGGTAAACCAACATGCTAGGGATGGAGAGTAACATAGCCAGATAAGAGGGGAGTAACATAGCTACATACAGAGGGAGTAACATAGCCAGAGATTGGGAGTAAAACAGCCAGAGATGGGGAGAGTAGCACAGCCACATATTGGGGAGTAAAATAGCTAGATATGAGGGGAGTAACATAGCCAGAAATGGGGAGAGTAACATAGCCTCATATGAAGGAGTAACAGAGCCACGTATGAAGGAGTAACATAGACATACATGAGGGGAGTTACATAGCCAGATATGGGGAGACTAACATAGTCACATACGGGGGAGTAACATAGCCAGAGATGGGAAGTAACTCAGCCAGACATGGTAAGAGTGACATAGCCTCATATGGGGGAGTAACATAGCCATATATGAGGGGAGTAACATACACAGATATGAGGGGAATAAAATAGCCAGATATGGAGAGGGTAACACAGTCACATATGGGTGGGTAACATAGCCAGCTATGGGGAGAGTAACATAACCACATATGGGGGAGTAACATAGCCAGATATAGGGAAAGTAACATAGCTAGAAATGGAGAGTAACATAGCCAGATAAGAAAGGAGTAACATAGCCAAGTATAGAGGAAGTAACATAGCCAGAGATTGGGAGTAACATAGCCAGAGAGAGGGAGGGTAACATAGCTATATATGGGGGAATTACATAGCTGGATATGAGGGGAGTAACACAGCTAGAGATGGGGAATAACATAACCAGATATAGGTGGAGAACATAGATATGGGGGGAGTAACATAGCCAGATATAGGTGAAGTAACATAGCCACATATGGGCTAGTAACATAGCCAGATATGGGGATACTAACATAGCCACATGTGGGACAATAACATAGAGATGGTGAGTAACTTTGCCAGATATGTGGAGAGTGCAGTCGCTTCATGTGGGAGCGTAGCATAGCCAGATAAGAGGGGAATAACATAGCCACATGTGGGGGAGTAACATAGCTAGATATGAGGGGAGTAACATAGCCAGATATGGGGAGTGTAACATAGCCACATATGGGGAACTATCATAGCCAGAAATGAGGGGTTTAACAGCCAAACACAGGGAGAGTAACAGGGCCACATATTGGGGGAGTAACATAGTCAGATATGAAGGGAATAACATAGCCAGAGATGGGGAGAGCAACATAGGCTCGTATAGGAGAGTAACATAACCAGATATGAAGAGAATAACATAGCCAGAGATGGGGAGAGCAAAATAGGCTCTTATAGGAGAGTAACATAGCCAGATATGAAGGGAATAACATAGCCAGATATGGGGAGAGTAACACAACATCATATGTGGGAGTAACATAGCCATATGGAGAGCAGTAACCTAGCCAGATAGGAGGAGAATAATAGAACCAATTATAGAGGGAGTAACATGGCCAGAGATTGGTAAGTAACATATCCAGATATGGGGAGAATAATATAGCCACATATGGGGGAGTTACATAGCCAGATATGAAGGGAGTAAGATAGCTAGAGATGGGGAATAACATAGCCAAAGGTACAAAAACATAGTCAGAAATGGGGGAGTAACACAGCCAGATATAGGGGAGTCACATAGCCAGATATGGGGGGAATAACATAGCCAAATATACAGGGAGTGACATAACCAAAGATGATGAGTAACATAGCCAGATATGAGAGGAGTAACATTGCCAGAAATGGGCAGAGTGCCATATGGGGAAGTACCATAGCTAGACATGATGGGAGTAACATAGGCAAAGATGGGTAGAGTAACATAGCCACATATGGGGGAGTAACATAGCCATATATGAAGGGAGCAACATAGCCATATATGGGGAGAGTAACATAGTCACATACGGGGGAATAACAGCCAAATACAGAGGGGGTAACATAAACAGAGATGGAGACTAACATAGGCAGATAATGGGGAGTAACATAGCCAGATATTGGGAGACTAACACAGCCACATATGAGGGAGTAACATAGCCAGAGATGAGGAGCACTTAGCCAGATATGGAGAGAGTGGCATAGCCTCATATGGGGGAGTAACATAGGCACATATGAGGACAGTAATATAGCCAGATATGGGGCAAGTAACATAGCCTCATATGGGGGATTAACATAGCCATATAGGAGGGAAGTAACATAGCCAGTTATGGGGAGAGTAACATAGCCTCCTATGGTGTAGTAACATAGCCATATATGGAGTAATAACATAGGCAGATATCGGGATATTAACATAGCCACATATGGGGGAGTAACATAGCCAGACCTGGGAAGAGTAACACAGTCATCTATGGGGGAGTAACAAAGCCTCATATGGAAAAGTAACATAGCCATATATGGGGGAATAACATAGCCAGATATTGGGAGACTAACATAGCCACATATTGGGGGGTAACATAGTCTGACATGGGGACAGTAACACAGCCACCTATGGGAGAGTAACAAAGCCACATATGGGAGAATAACATAGCCAGATATGGGGATACTAACATAGCCACATTAGGGGGAATAACATAGCCAGAGGTGGGAAGTAACATAGATATGGGGGGAATAACATAGTCAGATATGGGGAGAGTAACATAATAACATATGGGGGAATAACATAGCCAGATATAGGGGAAGTAACATATCTAGAGATGGAGAGTAACATGGCCAGATATGAGGGGAGTAAAAGACCCAAGTATAGAGGGAGTAACATATCCAGAGATTGGTAAGTAACATAGCCAGATATGGGGAGAGTAACAGAGCCATATGGGGGAGTTACATGCAGATATGAGGGGAGTACCATAGCTAGAGATAGGGAATAACATAGCCAGATATAGGTGGAGAAACATAGTCAGATATGGGTGAGTAACATAGCCAGATACGGGGGGAGTAACATAGTCAGAATTGGGGGCATAACATAGCCAAATATAGAGGGAGTAACATAACCAGAGATGGAAAGTAACATAGCCAGATATGGGGGAGTAACATAGGCAGATATGGGAGGAGTAACATAGCCAGATATGGGGGAGTAACACGGCGACATGTGGGGAAGTAACATAGCTAGATATTAGGAGAGTAACACAGCCAGAGATGGGGAGAGTAACATAGCCAGAGATGGGGAGAGTAACATAGCCACATATGGGGGAGTAACATAGCCATATATGAGGGGAGTAACATAGTCATATATGGATTGAAAAACATAGCCACATGTGTGGAATTACCATTGCCATATATGAAGGGAGTAACATAGACAGGGATGGGAAAAGTAACATAGCCACATATGGGAGAGTAACATAGCCGGGCATGAGGGGAGTAATCTAGCCACATATGGGGAAGTAACATAGCCAGAGATGTGGAGTAACTTAGCCAGATATGGTGACAGCGACATAGCCTCATATGGGTGAGTAACCTAGCCACATATGGGGAGACTAACATAGGTACATATGGGGGAGTAACATAGCCAGAGATGTGGAGATTGTCATAGCCTCATATGGGGGAGTAACATAGCCACATATGAGGGAGTAACATAGCCAGTTATGGAGAGAGTAACATAGCCACATATGAAGGAGTAACATAGCCAGATACGGTGAGACAAACATAGCCACATTTGGGAGAGTAACATAGCCAGAGATGGGGATTAACTTAGAAATATGGGGAAAGTGACATAGCTTCATATGGGGAGTAACATAGCCAGATATGGGGAGAGTAACATAGCCACATATAGGGAGAGTAACATAGCCATCTATGAAGGGAACAACATAGCCAGATATGGGGGAGTAACATAGCCAGATACGGGGAGAGTAATATTGCCACAAATGGTGGAGTAACATAGCCAGATATGGGGAGAGTAACATAGCCATATATAAGGGGAGTAACATAGGCAGACATGAGGAGAGTAACATAGCCATCTACGTAGGGAGCAACATAGCCAGATATGAGGGGAGTGACATAGCCAGATACAGAGAGAGTAACATAGCCACAAATGGTGGAGTAACATAGCCAGTTATGGGGAGAGTAACATAGCCATATATGGGGAGAGTAACATAGCCACATATGAGGGGAGTAACATAGCCAAAGTTGGGGAGAGTAACACAGCCACATATGGGGGAGTAACATAGCCAGAGACGCTGAGTAACTTAGCCAGATATGTGGAGAGTGTTATAGCCTTACCTGGGGAGCAACATAGCCACATATTAGGGAAGTAACATAGCCAGATAGGAGGGGAGTAACATAGCCAGTTATGGGGAGAGTAACATAGCCACATATGGGGAGTAACATAGCCGGATATGGTGAGACTAACATAGCTAGATAGAAGGGGAGTAACATAGCGAGTTATGGGGAGAGTAGCATAGCCACATATGGGGAGTAACATAGCTGGATATGATGAGACTAACATAGCCACATATGGGGGAGTAACATAACCAGAGATGGAGAGTAACTTGCCAGATATGGGGAGAGTGACATAGCCTCATATTAGGGAGTAACATAGCCATCTATGATGGAAGTAACATAGCCATATATGAGGGGAGTAATATAGCCATAGATGGGGAGAGTAACATGGCCACATATGGAATAGTAACTTAGCCAGATATGTGGGAAGTAACATAACCAGATATGGGGAAACCCTGACACATATGTGAGAGTAACAGCCAGAGATGATGAGTAACATACTCAGATATGACGGGAGTAACAGCCAAATATAGAGGTAGTAACATAGTCAGAGATGGGGAGTAACATAGCCAGATATGGAGAGAGTAACATAACCACATATGGGGAAGTAACATAGCCAGATATCAGGGGAGTAACATAGCCATTGGTGGCAAGTAACTTAGCCAAATATGGGAGGAGTAACACAGCCAGATATGGGGAGTGACATAGCCACATATGGGGGAGTTAACATATCCAGATATGGGGAGTAACATAGCTAGATATGGGGCAGTAACATAGCCAGAGATGGTTGGAATAACATAGCCAGATATGAGAAGTAACATAGCCAGAGATGGGGGGAGTAACATAGCCAGATATGGGCAGTAACATAGCCAAGTACAGGCATAACAAAGCCGGAGATGGGGAGTAACACAGTTCTGTAGAGAGTGTGTATTTATGTGTGGTGTCAGTTAAAGGGTATTGTATTCGTTTCCTGTGGCTGTGATGACAAATTACTACACATTTGGTAAATTAACAAAAATTTCCCTCTCAGAGTGCTGGAAGCCAGGTCTGAGATTAATGTGCCAGCAGGGCCAGGCTCCCTCCAGAGGGTCTAAGGGAGTTCTCTGTTCACCATATCCAGCTTCTGGTGTTGCCAACATTGCTGCACGTCCTCAGCCTTCCTTAGCACTTCCGTCTCTGCCTCCAACTTCACATCACCTTCTCCTCTGTTTGCGTCTGTCTCTCCCTTATAAAGATGCTTGTGAAGACTGTCTTACCTAAAGATCTTTAACTTAGGCATATCTGCACAGACCCTATTTCCAAATGAGGTCACATTTACAGGCTTCCAGAATTAAGATGTGAACATACCTTTGAAGTCATTCTCAGCCCACCTCAGGCATCAAACCTTATTCAGGCCAGGATCACCTCCATATCACCTGGGGGATCCAGGACAGAGAGATGCTGATCTAAGTGCTAGCATGTATGTAATATATCTGACAGTGAGTTATTACTGGATTTAATGGCGCGATGTCTACACACGACATAAAACTGTTGGGAGGGTGGGGTAGAGAGGCAAATTGCAACCTGAACTTAAGAAAAAGTTGAAGGTTTGATGGCATCACCATGTATTTTATTGAACTTACCTATAAATTATCCTGGATACTTTACACACCATTATTTAAACTATATTTTATGTAATTTTTTTCTTAGATCAAATTGTCTTTTTGTAGTAAATAATCTTTGAACAAATCTTAACTCTAGAGAAGGTCTGTTTCTGAGTTCTTGAATGTTTACAAATACTTTTATATCATTGCCCTACCATTTGAATGCTTTTTGGTTGGATATGAAACAATTGGTTTAAAAATAATTTTTCCTCAGAACATCTCAGAATGTTTTTATTTTGAGATAGGGTCCAAATCTGTTGCCCAGGCTGGAGTGCAGTGGTGCAATCACAGCTCACTGCAGCCTCAACTACTGAGCTCAAGAGATCCTACCACCTTGGCCTCAAAAGTGCCGGAATTACAGTCATAAGCCACCATGCCTGACTGTTTTTTTTTTTTGTTTTTTTTTTTTGAGGTGGAATCTCGCTGTGTCATCAGGCTGGAGTACAGTGGCACGATCTCGGCTCACTGCAACCTCTGATCCTGGGTTCAAGCAATTCTCCTGCCTCAGCCTCCCAAGTAGATGGGACTATAGGTCCCTGCCACCATGCCTAGGTAATTTTTGTATTTTTAGTAGAGACAGCGTTTCACCATGTTGGCCAGGCTGGTCTCGATCTCTTGACCTTGTGATCCACCCACCTCAGCCTCCCAAAGTGCTGGGATTACAGGTGTGAGCCACTGCGCCCGGCCCAGATTTTTTTTCAACATACAGTTTTGCCAATAAGAATTTCGATGACAACATAATTCTAATTTCTACATAGGTAATCTATTTTTCCTCTAGGAGTTTTTCGAAATATCTGTATTCTCTATAGCTCTAAGACTTCATAAAGATACATTCTAGCCTGGGTGCAGTGGCTCATGCCTGTAATTCCATTAGTTTGGGAGGCCATGATGGGAAGACTGTGGGAGCCTAGAAGTATGAGACCAGCATGGATAACATAGTGAGACTGTCTCTACAAAAAATACAAAAATTAGCCATGCATGGTGGCATGCACCTGTGTTCCCAGCTATTCAGGAGGATGAGGTGGGAGAATGCTGTGAGCCATGATGGCACCACTGCACTCCAGCCTGGATGACAAAGTGAGAATGTCTCAAAAAAAAAAAAAAAGATACATTCTAGATGCATCTTATCAATTTATATTGCTTAGGGATTATTATTTCTCTTATAATATATGTGGGTGGCTCTTTTTATGTAAAAAAAAAAATCTATGTTTCTCTTCAGCTATGATAAATTTTTATTTTTCTTTATAATTTTCTCCATTTAATTTTTTTCTATTTCTGAAACCATATTAGATATGTTGGAACTCTTGAAATGAGCTTTCCTGTCTTTGAACTCTTTCCCCATCTTTTTATCTTTTTGCTGTATGTTTTGGAATATTTCCTTAACTTTATCTTTTAGGTCACAGGTCACTAAACTACACTAAACTGTAGTCCATGGGCCGAATCCAGTCCACCACCTATTTTTGTAAGTAAAGGTGAATTTTGTAAATAAACTCTTTCTTGTTTGTATAGTATTTTGTAAATAAACCCTTTCTTCTTTGTATATTGTCAGGGACTACTTGCCTACTACCCTGGCAGATTGAGTAGTTGTGACAGAGACAACATAGTCTGGAAAACCAAAAATATTTAAAATCTGGCCTTTCACAGAAAAAAAAAAAATTCTGACCTTTGTTTTAGGTCACTAATTTGTCCTTTATTGTGCCTGTTCTTCTATTTATTCCTTCCAGTAAGTGCTCTATTTTTGTAATTCCATAATCCTAAGAACTATTGTTTGTCCTCTGTTTCTTTTCCATAGAAGTCTATTCTTGTTTTAGGGGGCAATGTCATCTTGAATCCTCTGGAGGATATTAAATAGAAAGTTTGGCAGTTCATTTCTCTATTGTGGATTTTCTGTTTTCTCTAGGGTCAATGTTCTGTCTCTTTCTCTTACTTCCTTTTTAATTTAATGGTTTCCTCCCTTAAGCATGTCCGTTTATGCCTAAGGATGAAGAACTGGATGAGTTAATACCACATAGGTGACCAGTGTGGGTTTCCTCTTCAGTTGAGGAGGGAGTCACCGGCAGCGGAGCCCTGCGTTCTGCAGACGGCTCTTTAATTACCCTGATCATTGCCAAAGGGCCTCCTTCTGCTCTCCGTAATTGTTAATACTCAGCTTGGAGTTTCTCTACAACTGCTCTTGTCTTCCTAGTAGGTTTTTTTTTTTTTTTCTGTGTAACATGTTGGGCTGTGGTTTTCTCTGTTTTTGTCAATGTAATCCCATCTGCTTTCTATCTTCCAAATTCATTTTAATTTCAGGATCTCTCAATATCACCTCTATTCTTCCTGTGCCATCTGAATGTAGTCTTAGAAGATGCCCTTTTCCTGTCCCTGGAAAGGATTCAGGGTGAAATGGGAAGTACAGGGTGGCAGACCTGTGTGCTCTGATCTACCTACTTAGCGTTTTAGATGAGAAACATTATCTGTAGCAATCTCCTATTTGCTTTAGGAAAGAAGTTCTTTCCCACTAGCCAATTTTCTAACTAAAGCTCATCTATTCAAAAATAAAGCTTTAAACAACTTAACCATTATGATGTAAATAGCATTTCAAATATGTTATTCACTTTTCTGCCTTCTTAAATAGAGGATACTCAACATCATTAACCACATATTTACACAAGATCATCGTCACAATATGTTCCCCTTTCTGGGTGGTAATGGAGTGAACTTGGTCCTTGATTTTACCTGGCCACATCAAGCAGCTCCTGTGCTCTTCATTTATGACTTCTAATGCTCCCCTGTGTTCTTGCTGAACTTTCTACTTCTAATTTTCTGTGGAACAGGAAACCACAGGGCTATGCATATTACAAAAATATATACTGTGGATAATTGCCACTAAGACTGGGGGCTAAAAGAAGAAGAGTGTGGCTTGGTGAAGTGTCTTTCTGTAAACTGTTTCAGGTACGTGGAGGCTTTTTGCGTGCTTCTAGACCCTGAGGTTTTATTCAAGTAGATGAATGTTTACTAGGAGTCTGACTCTGATCAAGAGGGATATTTCTGTGCTAATGTTTTGTCATTAAGTAAAAAAAGTATACACATTATATATAAACTATTATACATAAACAAATTATTATATATACATATAATACATATTATATATACATACAAACTATTATGTGTGTGTATATATATATTTACACATATAAACACACATAGGTACTTTCACTCACATAGTCATGTGTGGCTCAATGGCAGAAAATGTGTTCACACATCTTTGTGTGAACATCAGAAGTACTTACACAAACCTAGATGGTCTAGCCTACTACACACCTAGGCTACATGGCACCCACTATTGCTCCAGGCTACAAATCTGTATGGCATGTTACTGAACTGTACTGTAAGCAATTGTAGCACAATGGTAAGTGTTTGTGTATCTAAACATTTATAAACATAGAAAAAGTACAGTAATAATACAGCATTAACGACAAAAAAAAAGATATTTCTTTGGAGGGCACTTACCATGAATAAAGCTTATAGAACTGGATGTTTGCTCCAGTGAATCAGTGAGTGAATGTGAAGGTCTAGGACATTACTGTACACTCTCATAGACTTTATCAACACTGTACACTTAGGCTGCACTACATTTATTTAAAAATTTTCTTTCTTCAATAATGAATTAACCTTAGCTTACTGTAACTGTTTTACTTTATAAACTTTTTAATTTTTTTAACTTTTGACTCTTTTCTAAAAAGACTTAGCTTAAAACACAAACACATTGTACAGCTTTTCAAAAATATTTTCTTTCTTTATATCCTTATCCTATAAGCTTTTTTCTATTTTAAGCATTTTTAACTTTTAAACTTTTCTGTTAAAAACTGAGACACAAACACACACATTAGCCTGGGCCTACCCAAGGTCAGGATCATTAATATCACTGTCTTCCGCCTCCACATCTTGTCCCACTGGAAGGTCTTCAGGGACAATGACACGCATGGAGTTGTCATCTCCTGTGATAACAATGCCTTCTTCTGGATTCCTCCTGAAGGACTTGCCTGAGGCTTCTACCATTAACAGTTAAGTTACAGTTACAGTTAACAGTAAACAGTTAACAGTTAAGTGATGTTTACAGTTAACTTTTTTATATAAGTAGAAGTACATTCTAAAATAATGATGAAAAGTATAGCCTAATAAATACATAAACCAGTAACATAATTGTTTACTATCATTATCAACTATTACATATAATAAATAATGATATGTGCTAGATTTTTTTATGATGGCAGTACAGTAGGTTTGTTTACACCAGCATCATCACAAACGCATGAGTAACATGTTGTGCTACAATATAACGATGGCTATGACATCTCTAGGTGATAGGAATTTTTCAGCTCCATTATAATCCCACAAGACCATCATTGCATATTTGACTCATTGTTGATTGAAACATCATTATGCACAACTGTACTCTCAAATACATGTAATGTTCTCATATATACTCTCACACACATATACTTTCTCTCTCAAACAAAAAATAGTGTGTCTCTTGCCGAAGTAACCACCTACAGGGGAAAAAGAACTATTTTCTGCATATGAGTATAAATCTCAATATAAATCCCCACTTATTTATAAAATGTGAGTAACAGGCACATTAAACCACCAGAGTTATGTTAGAAACAAGAGCTCGGAGTCGCAAGGAAAGCGAGCACTCAAATGAAGGATTTCTCAGCAAGGCAAATTTACTTCTGCAGAAGGATGCTGCTTGCACTTGTGGCCACTGCAAGAGCACACGGAACAAAGGAGGGAAGGGGTTTTTATCCCCAATGTGGTTAGTCCCTGCTTTGGTGTCCTGTCCACATTGGCTGGAGTAGGACCGCACAGGCTAAACTGACCCGACTGGCTACTGTTTAAAATTGAATATGGCTAATTAGGCGGGAAGGGAGTGGCTGTCTGTTATTGTACAAGGCATGTTTGGGCATGTCCAGGTGGGGCAAATGGGGGAAGGGTAATTTTGGCAGGAAGGGTAGTTTCGGTGGGAGGGGCTGTTTACAGAATGGGTAGCCAGGAGTAAAGAGGACTCTTTCCAAATAAGGAAGAGATGTGATTTACAGAGTGGGACTGGCAGGAGAAGTTGTTTACAAAGCAGGTAGCTTAGGAGAAGGGACAGAGAAGTTGATCTTGAGAACAAAGAACGAGGAAGTCAGAAATTAGAACTTTGGAAAGGACTTACTGTATCTGACAGTTAAAAGCTAATGTTAATAGAAAATTCTGGAGCTGCATCTAGTGGTGTTTCTATTTCTTTCTGCAAATTAACTTCTTTCAACAAAATCTGCAGAAGAGGCCGGATGCAGTGGCTCACGCCTGTAATCCCAGCACTTTGGGAGACCGAGGCAGGCAGATCACCTGAGGTCAGTTTGAGATCAGCCTGGCCAACATGGTGAAACCCCATCTCTACTAAAAATACAAAAATTAGCCGGGCATGATGGCATAGACCTATAATCCCAGCTACTCAGGAGGCTGAGGCAGGAGAATTGCCTGAGCCCGGTAAGCGAAGGAGGCAGTGTGGTAAAGTGGAAAAAAGCATTGCTTATGAACCAAATAGACCTTGCTTTGGATTCCAACCCACCACATGTGAATTTCATAAACTTTAAGTTACTTGACCTCTCTCAACCTATTCTTTCAAGTATAAATTTAGGAAGATAATGCTCGCTGTGATATACTGTACTCTGTAATATCTAAAGAGTATAGGGCAGTCTTTTTGGTCTGACATTCAAGGTCTATACAATCTGGCACCAATATATCTACTGCTACAGCTAATGTACTCACTACTGCCAAGCTACCCCATGCATAACTTTTATCTACATCTATATCCATCTATCTTAGTTTGTGTGTTGGGCAGAATAATCTCCCCTCCCCTACCCCACCACAGCCCCCCAGAGAGCAAGTCTAATCCCCAGGACCTGTAAAATGTTACCTTATTTGAATAAAAGCATCTTTGCAAATATGAAATTAAGGATTTTAAGATAAGGAGATCATCCTGTATTATCACAGTGGGCCCTGCATGTCCTCACAAGTTTCCTTATAAGGTAGAGGGAGATTTGACACTCAGACACAGAGAAGGGAACCATGTGATGAATGCAAAGACTGGAATGATGCAACCACAAGCCAAGAAATGCCAGCAGCCAGTACTGTAGTAACTCCATTAGTGGCTACAGTGCTAATTTAGTGCTAATGGTTTGTCTCCTTAAGAGATGGTGCTGTACCTAGCGCTTGCTGCAGATCTCTCGTTTTCGGCACTGACAGCATCCAGGCAGATCTGGTGAACTGGAACCATGCTGTCGGCCCACATACCTATTGCATCCATCTTTGCCACTGTAACTACCATGCTAGCTGGAAGAGGCAAGGAGCAGAATCTCCCTAGAGCCTCTGGAGGGAGCGTGGCTCTGCCAACATCTTGCTTTCAGCCCAGACTGATTGCAAACTCTCCAAAACTGTAAAATAACCTATTTCTATTGTTTCAAACCACCCAGGTTGTGTAATTTATTACAGTAGCCCCAGGAAATGAATAAAATTTGGGCTTGCCCAGAAGTTAATTCCAATATAAGACTTTGAGTGCAAGTTTTCTATGGGAGGTGACACCAAGAGTCACTGTGACAGCCTGGAGAAGCAAGGGTGAGAAGAAAGGAAAGCGAGCAAAGGGAGCATCAGAGGCCGCTGTGCTGTGGGCTACTGGGCAGTCCTGTAAGAGACTGTGTGGACCATGCTTCCCAATCCCCGCACTGAGCAGTGAGATAGTTGGGGTATTGATCCATAGTTCCCATTTCTCATTGGTCGAGGGTCATTTCTGGGGATATTAATTCTCCATCACTGCAGGCCTCCCCTGTATGCAAGTGGAGCATACTCTGCAGCAAGAATATGTTCTCAGGCAGAGAGAGGCAAGAAACCATCAGACAGGAAGAAACATGGTGAGGGCCCTGGACTTTGTTGGAGTCCACCATGCAGCCTTCTGATCCACTTGTGCCCCAGAAGAATTCCTTTCTGTTCTGTCACTGAGTCTTCAAATTGGTGGCCACTTGCAAACCCAAGAAGACCTATAACAGGGAGGTTAGTGGGATGGGCCAATATCCTGATGCTGCAGTTGGATCTGAGGCCATAATTAATACTCGTCGACTCCCTCTTCTACCACCTGTGTTTGATTCTTCTCACTTTTGCTGACTTTTTTGCTGGTCTTAGTTAGCGTATCAGGTGTGACCCAGAATTTGATCCCTGAAGGGTCTGAGCTTCTAGAGACTTTTCCCTGTTGTCAGGCCTGGTTGGTACAATTGTTCTTTCATTGTCATCAGCAGACATGGAAACAACTAGAAGTACCCCCAGAGAATCCATCTCTTGAGTTCCAAGTACAGTCATCCCTGTGCCTTTATGCATCAGCCTCTCTGGATTTTCATAACCAACATCAGTTACTCATGCCAGTAGAGTAAATGCTTTCTTTGCTGCTGGTCTATCATCATGGAGGCTCAAATTAACCAGGCTACAGTGTAACTTTAGGTTCAGTGGAACCCTTACTGTTTCTCCTAGTGGAAGCATTCCATCCCTGAAGGCCGCATCTTCTAATACAATAGACCTTAAAATTTTAGAAATGGATGCACAAAAACCCCAAGTAAGTTCTGGAAGTGAAAATGATGAGATCACTTCTACTCCTTGATTTCTGGATTGTATATTCTTGCTACTGGGGACACAGCACCCTATAATTGCTCTTGGTTCAATGTATACCACATCTTGCCCCAACCACACGGGATGGCACACCACTGGCATCTTTACTGAGCCTCTCAGGGGCCATTCCAATATTCTCTCAGGCTGACAACTTATCGGAATAATACAGTTTTTGATAGGACCAGTGGATCTCATGGCAACATGCCCATTGTCAAACCTCATTCCATGTGTAAAAAGTAGAGATTCCTCTTCAAAGACTTTCCTCCCCAACTAATTAGGAATAAATAGTAACTTCTGCTAGAAGCAAAATTTATTCAAAGACCTGTGCTAACATTCTTAAATATCTGCTAGCCATGATAAAGAAATCAATGTACTTTATGTTCTTAGCTCCCGCAGTTTAGCCTAAATATTTGCCTTGGCATGCTTATACTGGTCCACGCAAGCATTAGGTCATAGCCTGTTCTTCTTCCTTATTTGGAGGTGTTTTTACCTTTCTCAGCATTCCACAAGTTACTTCCTCTTTCCTTTGTTCTCCTCTGCTTTTGCCTCTTTTAAAAAGTTCTAAGTTGCTAGCCAATCAGGACAAATACAGAATGTGAGGTCCCATTCCAGCCAATGGAAACCAGACACAGCAGTAAGGTGGACGCGTCAGGTTATAAATGACCCTGAGTCTCCTTTGTTCGGTGTCCTCGCGTGGCAAAACTGCTGGCGAGTGTACCAGAAAATAAAGTAAAAATGGCCTTGCTGAGGAAATTAAATTTATGTTCAAGTGCTATTTCTTTATGGCACCAGGGAACAAGCATTTCTAACACATGTAAAGTGGATCCCGTGGTTCATGGCAATTTAATGTGAGATCCTATGTTGGAAAATGACTCTTTAAACCTTCAGTTAATGATACTGAGTGAAGCAGTGCAGGCAGGGATGGCGACCCCATACCCAGAATATGTATCAGAATAAAGACAAATTACTGCTCACTTCAGGGTGGAAGGTGTCCCATGGAATTAATTTAGCACTAATGGTTTGTCTCCTTAAGGGATGGTGCCGTACATAAGGCTTGCTGCAGGTCTGTCATTTTTGGCACTGAGAGCATCAAGGCAGATCTGGTGAACTGGAGCCCATGCTCTTGGCCCATGTATCTGTCACATCCATCTTTACCACTGTGACTACCATGCTCAGGGACCCCTTGTGCAAGTCCTGGTGTGACCAAAGAGAGCTGGATGGAGCAAAAACAGTATCTGCTACACTGACCTTACCTTCTTTTGTCCAGTTTCCAAATGGGAAGAGCCCTAGCTTTCGGTTTTGTTTTCACTTTTCAGATTCAGTTGTCAACACATAGCCCTATCTTCGTGACCTTTTGTGTTCTCGAGAATCTCCCGCTAACTTATATTTTTTCTTTCTTTCTTTCTTTTTTTTTTTTTTTTGAGACAAAGTCTTGTGTCATCCAGGCTGGCGTGCAGCAGCGCAGTCTCTGCTCACTGCAACCTCTGCCTCCCGGCTTCAAGCAATCATCCTGCCGCAGCCTCCTGAGTAGCTGGGATTATAGGCGCGTGCCACCACTTCCTGCTAATTTTTGTATTTTTAGCAGAGACGGGGTTTCCCCATGTTGGCCAGGCTGGTCTCGAACTACTGACCTCATGATCCGCCCGCCTCGGCCTCCCAAAGTGATGGGGATTACAGGCGTGAGCTACCGCACCCGGCCCTAACTTATATTCTCACCTGCCCACTTTCAAAGTTTCCCCTTGCTTTACGAACATGCTCAAATCTCTCCCATTCCTCCTTAGAAACAGTTCCCTTCGCTAGTTAACATCAATTGCTTTCATTAATTTATTCATCAAGGATTTTTTAAATAAGTATCATATGTCAGCCATCTTCTAACTGTTGTGGATACAGTGAATAATAAAACAGATACTGTTTTGATTCTTATGTAGGTTATATTTTAGCAAGAGGATTGGGAGATGTCATACAATTAACAAGTAAACAAATAGAAGATAATAAGAACCAGTGCTTAGTGTTGTGAAAGAGGTCAGCAGATAGTGTGGTTAGTAAATTTCTCCAGCACAGTGAAATTTCAGCTGAATCCTGAAGAATTAGAAGGGGCCAATTATACAAAAAGACAGGGAAAAACTTGGCTGACATAGGGAAAAATCAAGTGCAGAAGTTCTGAAGTGAGAAGAGGCCTGAAATATTCCAGGAACTGAAAAGGTACCACACTGAGTGTGTATTCATTGAGCAACCATTTCCGGAGTGCCTCCAGACACCAGGCTGGAGATACAATTGTGAAGAAGATGCAGCACCTTCCTTCAAGGAACAGGAAACACTAGTGGGAGAGGCAGATGATGGAGGACTCAATTTCAACGTACGTTATTGCTTTACTGAGAGGCTGCGAGGGTGCACAGAAGAGCTGCATAGGCTCAGCAGAGTCCCAGAGAAGACAGCATCTGTGCTGAGTTCAGAAGGACCAGAAACATTATGAGGCCAATGGGGAAGAGACTGGGCAGGGAAAATAACTTAAAATAAAGCAAGAGTCGGCGGGGCGTGGTGGCTCACGCCTGTAATCCCAGCACTTTGGGAGGCCGAGGCGGGTGGATCACCAGGTCAGGGATTCAAGACCAGCCTGGCCAAGATGGTGAAACCCCATCTCTACTAAACATATAAAAATTAGCTGGGCACGGTGGCAGGCGCCTGTAATCCCAGCTACTCGGGAGGCTGAGACAGGAGAATCGCTTGAATCCGGGGGGCGGAGGTTGCAGTGAGCCGAGACCGCGCCACTGCACTCCAGCCTGGGGGACCGAGTGAGACTCCGTCAAAAGAAAGAAAAGAGAAGACAAGACAAGAGAAGAAAGGAAAGGTCACAAAAGAGTGTGAAATATGGGGTCGCTGCAAATAGTTGAGTGTGACTGAAATAGGGAGTATGGGGGTAAGGAAAGATGTGAATAAAATGCTGGGCAGTCACTAAGTACCCCATGATGAGGGCGCCAAATGCCATGCTAAAGAGTTTGGACATCAGACATAGGGTGAGAGAGCACTGAAAAGGCTGAAAACAGGGGAGTATGTGAGTGGACTTGTATTTTAATAGGATCACTTAAATGCAGAGAACTGACTGGAAAGGGGCAAACCTGAAAGCAAGATGACCAGGGAATGGGCAGGTGCAGTGATCCAGCCAGTGATGAGGTGGCCCCATGTATTAGTCCGTTTTCACGCTGCTGATAAAGACACACACGAGACTGGGAAGAAAAATAGGTTTAGCGGACTCACAGTTCCATGTGGCTGGGGAGGCCTCACAGTCCTGGTGGAAGGTGAAAGGCACTTCTTACCTGGCCAGGCAAGAGAGAATGAGCTTGTGCAGGGCAATTCCCGTTTTCAAAACCATCAGATCTCGTGAGACTTATGCACTATCATGAGAACAGCAGGGGAGAAAACGGTCCCCGTTATTCAATTACTTCCCACCAGGTTCCTCCCATGACACATGGGAATTGTGGGAGTTACAGTTCAAGATGAGATTTGGGTGGGGACACAGCCAAACCATATCACCCCAGGAGAGTGGAGATCAGTCATGAGATTCCACAGTTGCTGTGGAAGCAGAATCTATAGAACACAGCAGCTCAACAATCAACAGGGCTTTGAAGTGGAAAGGGAGTGGGTGGTGGGGGGGTGTGTGGCTTTAGGGTCTCTGGCTTAGGAAGCTGAGTCTCCGTAGTGCCATTCATACAGATGGAATGAGGGAAGAAGCAGTTTCATGGGAAAGTAGTAAATTTGATTGAGTAACAAGAGCTTGGGGGATCCAGAAGAGAGCTAGGTTTGCAGTTCAGGAGTCCAGGAGAGAGTCAGACTGAAAACATAAGCCCATGGATAGTCAGTCATTGAAGCCATGGGAATGAAGATCACCTATGGGAAACACAGATAGAAGCGAATGTTACCACAATGAAGTGTGGTCTATACAATTAATTGCTGCAAAGAGGTCAGGTAAGATAAGGACTGAAAAATAGCCATCGGGTTTAGTAACAACAATGCCTTTGGTGACATTGGAAGTAAAAGTGGCACAGTAGGCCGGGCGCGGTGGCTCAAGCCTGTAATGTCAGCACTTTGGGAGGCTGAGGCAGGCGCATCACGTGGTCAAGAGATTGAGACCATCCTGGCCAACATGGTGAAATCCTGTCTCTACTAAAAATACAAAAAAATTAGCTGGGCATTGTGGCGTGCCTGTAGTCCCAGCCACTCAGGAGGCTGAGGCAGGAGGATTGCTTGGACTCTGGAGGTGGAGGTTACAATGAGCCGAGATCGCACCACTGCACTCTAGCCTGGCAACAGAGCGAGACTCCGTCTCAAAAAAAAAAGTGGCACAGTAGGTGCAGAACACTGTACAGAATGTAACAAGTAGCCACGAGGCAATGAAGACAGTGCAGACAAGGCTCATAATGCATGATTCTGAAGGAAAGGGGAGAAATAATGAGGCTGTCTAGTGAGGAAAGTGGAGTGGTTGAAAAAAAATTCTTTTTAAAGACAGATGTGTCTGGAACACATTTAAATACTGATAAAAATAGACTAGAGCATTGAGAGAAATCGAATGTGGTTATTTTAAATTTGGGACTAAAAGAGCTATAAGGTAATATGTTAGCCAGATATAATTTTTTTCACTTTAGAAAAAGTCAGTTTGATTATAATAGGTATGATTTACCATACCTGCTATGTGCCAAGCACTGTACTGGGCATTTTATGTCTCCAGTGATTTTATGTTTAAACAACATTAGGAGGTAGGCATTGCTATCATTGCTATCATTATTTTTCAGATGAGAAAATGAAGATGTTATGTGTCTTTCTCAGCCCATGAGTAGTAGATTTTCAGTTCAAATTCCAACCTTTCTCCAAATCCATATTCCGTACACAGCACCACCTCTCAGCATATATTTGCTATGTGGTAGCAGAATCCTTGGTGAATGAGCATCGAAAGGCATGTTTTGATCAGGCTGGGAAATGAGGAGAGAATGCGAAGATCTGAAAGGATCCCCTGTCTGGAATAAATCTTGGTAAAAGATGCTACGAAAGCTGGACCTAGGACAGGAGGATATGAAGAGCAAAGGGAGACAGGCAGAATGAGAATATGGTAATAGCAGAGGTACCAAAGCGTTGTGTAGGGGAATAAAGTCCAGCAAAGTGGGGAGGAGCAGAAAAGAAGAACCCACGTCCTAGGCCAGCCTACACAGCACTCCTGAGCAGGGGAGATCTGGTAATTACGCTATTGATTTTACACATCTGGATAAAGGAAATGCCAGTGATAGGCTGCTGACAACCACCTTTCTCTACTACGCTCCTTATGTGCATATCCAACCACTTATTTGAAACCTCTACTCTTGATTTCTCAAGAGTAGAATTCTTTCCCAAGCCTCCCCATTTCAGTAAATTATTCTACCTTCTATCCAGTTGTTCAAGAAGTCATTCTTGACTCTTCATTCCTGTTTATTCCATATAATCATTATCTTTGCTGTGTAGCAATATTACTAGAAACTTAGTGGCTTGAATCATACTTCTGATCTCAGTTTCTATGGGCAGGAATACAGGCATAGCTTCCTCTGCTTCAGGGTCTCTCATAAGGCTGCAATCAAGGCGTTGCCCAGGCTGCAGTCTCATCTGAGGCTCAAGTGGGGAATTATCTAATTCCTCATAGTTATTGGCAAGATTCAGTTCTTTGTGGGTTACTGGACTGAAGGCCTGAGATCCTTACTGGCTATTGATCAGACATCATTAATTGCCATAAGGGCCTCTCCATACAGAAACTTGCTTCATCAATGCTAGCAAGGGTGAGAGCTAATAAAGAGTCTGCTATCAAAACGGACATTTGGATCTTATGTACTGCATTCACAGAAGTGCCATGCAATCACTGTTTCTATATTCTGTTAGTTAGAAACAAGTCATAGGCTCACCCCATATTCAAACACAGGAGACTTCACAAGGGCATGAATATCAGGAGGTGAGGATAAACAGAGGTCATCCTAATGTCTGCCTACTACATCCCATCACCCAGTTCATTGCTAAGTCTTGTGAACACTACTCCCAAAACGCCCCTTGCATTTGTTCATATTTGTCCATTGCCAGGGCCACCATCACCAATTCAGGGACCATCTCTCACTGGACAATTCTTTGGTCTCCTTTGTTTCATTCTTTCCTCTCTGAAGTCTATTCTACACACTTAGATTGTATAATTTCTCTTCCATAGTTTAAAAGTCCTCCAAAAAGTTCCCACTGATGACAAAATAAAATTGAAATTCCAACAAGACCCTACATTTCCTGGCCTACTGGCCTCTGACTTAATCTGATTTCATATTCCACAACTCAGTATACTCTGAGTGCCAGCTGCTTATGGTTCTCCAACTCCCTGAGTTTATTCCTGCTTTTCAGAATTTAATCTTCATATTTTCTCTGCCTGAAATGTTCTTTCCCCAGGTCTTTTGCAAAGCTGTGCCTCCCTTATCATTCAGCCCCAGCCCAAGTGACATGTCCTTGGAGAGGCTTGCCCTGCTATATTAGTCTGTTTTCACACTGCTATAAAGAATACTACCCAAGACTGGGACATTTATAAAGGAAAGAGGTTTAATTGACTCAAAAGTTCCACATGGCTGGGGAGGCCTCAGGAAACTTACAATCATGGCAGAAGGGGAAGCAGGCATGTCTTACATGGTAGCAGGCAAGAGGAGAATGAGCAAAGGAAGAACTTGCCAAGCACTTATAAAACTATCAGATCTTGTGAGAACTCACTCACTATCATGGGAATAGCATGGGGGAAACTGCTCTTATGATCCAATCACCTCCTACCAGGTTCCTCCCTGAACACCTGGGGACTGCAATTTAAGATGAGATTTGGGTGGGGACACGAAGCCAAACCATATCACCTGCCCAAAGAGAAAGGGAGGAACCAGGATGATTTCCAGGCAATCACCCAAGCTATCTCTATCACATTGCCTCTTTTAATTTTATTAAAGCCCTTATCATTCACTGTCATTTTCTTGTTTACTAATTAACTGTCTTTTCTTTTATTCGAGTTTAAGATCTGTGAGAGCAAAATCCCTGACTTTCTTATTTTCCACTATATATTCCCATTATCTAGAATCAGGCTTCAAATATAACAGGCACTGGGTAAACATTGCTGAATGAATGAATGAATGAATGAATGGTCAATTAATTAATGAATCAAATTACCCATTCTGGGCTGTCTTTAGATGTCTGCACAACATTAATAATTTTAAAACTGGGCTGGGAATGGTGGCTCACTCCTGTAATTGCAGCACTTTGGGAGGCTGAAGGTGAGAGGATCACTTGAGGCCAGGAGTTCAAGAACAGCCTGAGCAGCATAGTGAGACTCCATCTCTACGAAACAACAACAACAAAATAGTCAGATGGCCAGATGTGGTGGCACACTCTCATAGTCACAGCTACTTGGAAGGCTGAGGTGGGAAGATCACTTGAGCCCAGGAGTTCAAGGTTGCAGTGAGCTATGATCATACTCCTGCACTCCAGCCTGGGTGACAGAGTGAGACCATGTCTCTAAATAGATTAAAAATAAGTTTAAAAAACTGAAGTCCTTTGGTATGCCCTTATTTTATTGGCATTGAGATCCAGCCTTTGAAAGTTTCCTCCACCATTTTTTAGAAAGATTTCATAGCCCATTCTTTGATCATCATTTACTTCCCATGTACCCCAAGACGTATTTTATATCACAAAATTAACAAAATGCTTTCCTGGAACAAAAATGCCACCACAGAAGGCATTTTGTCAGGGTCTTCAGGGAGCCAAATTAACCCAGTGGACCTAAAGAGAGAGCATCTCCATCATGCCTGCAGGGACTGACAGAGAAGATAATCTCAGTATTCCTTGGCCACAGCTGTTCTGTGGGCATCATAGCTGGTTTCTACTATGATGTCTCTTTCACAGGTATGAACGTTTCTGTAGGAAAATAAAGGGTTGCACCAAATGAAAATAAAAGCAACTCACTGAGAAATAATGCCATGTGGGAGATGGAGTGGAGTCCAAGAAAATTAAAAACATTCCAAGTTACTGTTTTGGTTTGTTCTGTTTCTCGTTCTGATGAGGCCAAATGATTGACATCTGTTAGACACTCCTTTGTGTTTCAGAGCTGATGTCGTACCCATTCAGAATTTAAAAAGAAAAGCTAATCATGATTATTGCCTCATGGTGTATATCAGTCTGCTGAAGGATTTTTCTGAAGTGAATACATGTTTTTTGGCAGCTCTTGTTTGGGGGAGAGAGCCACCTGCTCTAATTCTTCATCTAGTGGAAAGGTTTGGCACTATCCTCTGTTGCTCTTTAAACCAATACTAACAAGGGAATAATAGGAATATGAAACAAAAGAAACAAACAAGGAGAAATATCTCTTCTATTGGTGTAGCCATCAAGGTCTACTCAGAAAAATAAAGCCCAGATGAAACAGTTCAATGGTAAGGATTTAATTAGGGGAACTAGTTAGGAAGGTGCTGGAAGAGCTGAAGTGGCCAACAAGGGGCAGTGAAAGAAGACATCAGTTCTTTGCATCTCAGAGGAGATTCAACTAAGTGACTTGCCCCAAACAACTTGATACATCAGATTGGCAATAGCGGCAAGCTGCGACCACACAGGAAGGCGGTGTTATGGGTCAAATTGGATCCCCTCAAAAAGGTATATTGAAATTAGGTCATCACAAATGTAATGACTTAAATTAAAATTAGGTTAGACTGGAATAGTGGGCCCCTAATCTAATAGGACTAGTGTCCTTATGAAAAGAGAAGAGACACAGAGATAGACATAGGGGCAAGACGGCCTTCTGATGACAGAGACAGACTAGAATAACGCAGCTGCAAACCAGGGAATGCCAGGGATTGTGGCCACCACCGGAAGCTTGCAAAAGGTGAGGACAGATTCTATGCAGAGTCCCAGAGGGAGCACGGCCCTGCTGACACCCTGATTTTGAACTTTCAGCCTCCAGAGCTGTGAGACTATACATCTCTGTAGTTTTAAAATACCCAGTCTGTAGCACATTGTTAGAGCAGCCCTGAGAAACTAATATGAAGGGCGTATTCAGAATCCAAGCCCAGGACCACTTAGGGGAGGTGGATTTATGAGATGGCCCAGGAAGAGGCTAGGGTCATGGAGGGAGGGCCTAGCTAGTAGGATCTGGGACTGCAGAGGAGACTCAGTCATTGCTGGAGAAGCCACGGAAGCAGGTGAGTGTCAGGGAAGGAGGGAGAAATACTCTGGCCTCTCTATTCCACTCATCCTCCCAGCTCCTGCCAGTGCCTCTCTGTTTCTGAATCTAGTTAGAAACCAGTTGGCACAAGAGTCTGCAAAATTGTTGTTTTTGGGGGCAGGGTAAGAAATAAATCTGAGTAAAAAAAGGCAATGCCTGTCACTCTAAGGGGCTGTCATGTTAGGCTGGCATGTGCACTGGATGTTCTGTTCTCTGCAGCCAAGTCGGGAAATACAGGATATCGATTACTGCACATACCCTAACAGCAGGATTGTGGAGGTTGTTTGAAGTGAAAAAGATCCTAAACACAAAGGCAAAATATTACAAGCCACTGTGGTTTCATTATTAAAGGCATTTGTCCAATGACCTGGAGTCAAGAAAACTGCCACAAATTGGATTTTTGACAATTTGGATGTTGGATTTTGGACAAACATGGTTCACTTTTTCTATCATGTTATGAAGAAGAATTGAAACAATGATATGGGGTATTGCTATGAAGAAACGGAGAAAATTTAGGGCCGAAGACCTACAAAATTTGTTTTTTAAATAGAGAGAGAAACTTCTCCTTCACCCACTAAAATTGCCAAAATCAAGAAGGAAGTGAATAGATGCTAGAGTGATATTTATTTCCCGACCCTATATGACTCCCCTGGACCTAATGTTCCACAGTAAAAATTAAAACAGTATATATGCAGCGGTGATTTGCAAAAGGACTGGAAACACTTGTGGATTTAAACAAATGCAGATACTTAAAATAAAAATCCCCACCATTCTTTAAAGGAAGCAGCATTTGGTAATGAACTTGAGATAAAGTTTTCTTTCTTTTGAAATGGAGTCTCACTGTGTCGCCCAGGCTGGAGTGCAGTGGTGTGATCTTGGCTCACTGTCAGCTCTACCTCCTGGGTTCATGCCATTCTCCTGCCTCGGCCTCCCAAGTAGCTGGGACTACAGGTGCCCACCACCACGCCCGGCTAACTTTTTGTATTTTTAGTAGAGATGGGGTTTCACCGTGTTAGCCAGGACGGTCTCGATCTCCTGACCTCATGATCCGCCTGCCTCGACCTCCCAAAGTGCTGGGATTTACAGGCATGAGCCACCGCGGCCAGCCAAAGTTTTCTTTCATATAAAACAGAATAATATAATATATGTGCATATATTTTATAATATATTTTAATATTTATAGGTAATATTTTAAAATTTGTGATAAAAGAAGGCATACACATTTATTTGCCAGGACAAAACTCTTCTTGGAACACAACATTTATGAAATTAGTCCTTGCATAGGTGACGGTAGGCATTGTCTCTAACCAATATCTTGTTCTGACTGCTAATCTTTTTTTTAAAAAGGGCACCACAATCAATCATTCATCAAAAATAACAGGCAGCAAAGGACTGAGGTAATGTGATTGTTGCTTTCCAAAGTTTCAAATTAGCATAGAAATAGAAAGTAAGCTATCACACCACTAAATAATTAATGTGGCCACAGCAAACATAGGAGCTCTCAAGGAGGCCTTTGACATGTGTGGGATGACAGTACATTCATGGTCATTACACCTAACTATAACTTTTTGACCTTGCTGATTGAAGTGAACGTTACAAGTTATAAATGTGATATTCTGTTGGAAAAGGTTGAGGTTTTTAAACAGATCCATCAGTGTCATGTTCAAACCACAACAAACATGAAATGATAAACAAATTTGAAACCCACAGGAAGACCTCCAAAGAGCCTACATGCTCACATGCAAGCAATGCTCACTGCAGCACACTGCAATGGGGCGTGGGCCTGGGACACAGCAGGACACAAAAACTCCTCTGGGGCCGGGCACGGTGGCTCACGCCTGTAATCCCAGCACTTTGGGAGGCCGAGGTGGGCGGATCATGAGGTCAGGAGATCGAGACCATCCTGGCTAACACGGTGAAACCCCGTCTCTACTAAAAAATACAAAAAAAAAAAATTAGCCGGGCGTGGTGGCGGGCACCTGTGGTCCCAGCTACTCGGGAAGCTGAGGCAGGAGAATGGCGTGAACCCGGGAGGCGGAGCTTGCAGTGAGCCGAGATCGTGCCACTGCACTCCAGCCTGGGCGACAGAGCAAGACTCCGTCTCCAAAAAAAAAAAAAAAAAAACTCCTCTGTAGGGTGATATAAATCCCTCCACATCTATACCGCTTAGTTGTAAAATAAGGGAAGGGAGAAAAAGACAATCAAAACTGGCAGTGGCACTCAGGAATGGAGTGTCAGAAATAGATTCTTGAGCAGAACCTTCAAATAGATCATGAATCAAAGAGGAGAAGAAAAAAGAAATGTGGGTTGCAAATACAAAATTAGCATAAACCAAGAGAACAGACTTTATGTAGAGTGAGGAAGATAAGTGTTTCTCTTGAGTGTCCATAAAAGTGTACCCTGGGAGTACCATGGACACTTTCTTACCATGCCCCTGGAGGTTTCATACTAGGCAGCATGCTTTCATAGTAGGTGGGCATAGACAGGCTAAGTGCCTTGTCCAAAACAACCCAACACATCAGGGTAGAGCTAAGATGGGTCTTCTCAGTCCCTGAGTTTAAGGACTTCGATCACTTAATCGAGTCATGCTGCAGCTCTCAAAGACGACTTGACTTCCTGCGGGTCCAAAGCACATTACCAACTTAATAAGTAATGATACTAAAATGCAAGAAGGCTACGTGTGCACAGTGTCTATCCCCTGCAGGGTCCCTGTATGACCATAATAAGTTTTTATTGCTGAGAGATGGAAAGGAGAATTTTTACACAAAAATCAGGATGGGCAGAGCACTGCCCATGTACATTACTTAAAAACAAACAAACAAAAAAACACTCTTCCTAGTATTTAATATCCAAATGACTTACTATTTGTTTGTCCCCTGAGAAAATATTTTATTGAAAGCTACATAAATGCTATTCTGGTGATTCTTGTATAAAACAGCGAATCCCAGTTACCATCTCTTAAAGAACACAGATGCGGATGCACTTCACCTGGGTGGCATGCTCACCATTTAACCAGAAGGCTAGTACACCTTGTTTACGATTCCCAAAGGGAATAGAGCAAAACTTGCTCTATACTAAAGGCAAAATAATGAAATCTGTTGACAAAACGCCATCATAAAAAAAAGATAATATTAACCATTTATTAGGTTCTAGGTGAACTAAAATTTGAGCAAAGGGGTGAATTTACTCTGGGGGTTGGTAGAAGACAAGAATGTTTGTAGACTGTTTAGAAGGGAATCTAGTGGTAAATTGTCACCCATTTTTCTGTGTATGTCAGGCAGTTTCATTAGAAAAATCTCTGCTAGTGCACTGATATTCTCCCACAGCTGTGGCCAGTAAGTGTGTCATAGTTACCGATGCCAATTTGACAAGAAGGCTGAAGTGAGTCCAAGTGTGGGAGTCTTACCTTCTTAGTAGGCTCCATCGTCTCCACTGTGTAATCTGACCAACTATTCCACTTCAATATACTTTTTTCGCTATAAACACAAAAGTATTTCCTCTCAGCTCTACACTCCTCTAAGAATATTACTCTTATAATGTTAAGAAAATCTTTGTAGTTATTTGAAAACAGAAAAACGTAACAGGCATGTCCTACTGCGGAGGAATTTTAAACTGTATTCAATATTTATATTGAATGATTTGGGCATCATTTTTCTGAAACTAAGACATGTAAGGTAAAAACAAATAATTATGTTAACTTTGCCAGAACCAAGAATTTCAGGATAAGTGATTAGAGTCACAAATATAAAATCAAAAAGTAAAATTTCTCTGTCTTCTATTTCAGCTGACTATGTCACTATGCTCGTAAGGTATCCTTTTCTTTTAAAAGTGCATATTTTATATAGCCTTGTCCACTGAAAGGGGCAAAGAAATATGGAGCAAGGAGCACGTCTAGTGCTCAGACTGTGATCTCGCAACATCGTTTCGCACGTGAAGTCTCTTTGGAGAAATGACTGTGTCAGATCTGGTTCAGGAAATAGACAAGATGAGCTAGAGCATCTTATTATACTAGAACATAAGAGAAATCTTTTAAAGATCACTAGGGTGATGTCAAAAGGGTTGAGAAGCCAAATTAAAGAGACACCCTCACTAAAGATGGGACAGTTGGGTTCTCAAAAAGGATAGTAACCGCAAATAATATTTAGGCTTCTAATATTGTATCATTCATGAGTTCAAAATGATACTGAAAATGAGCCACCATTGGTCTTTGGTCACATTTAGCAGATGTTAGGGAACTATTCTAAAACTGAGAAAACAGTCAAGCATTTATTCTGCTTTTCCTTTACAAACTATGCTTAGGGATTATCATATAGCTCATGAAGAAAAGTCTTTCTTTATAGCAGCACTCCAGCTACTAAATGAAGAAGGATTAATATAATGACATCATTTCAGAACTCCTAGTAAAGTAATGGATGTAGGCAGTGATCACCAATGACTGCTAAAACTGTTAGATGAGAAACTGATGGGGAACTTTAAAATTATGGAAAGACTGACAAGATTTGACCCAGCAATCAATCTTAACATCCCATAAAGGGAGATAATCAGACATTATGTGTCTCCTGATGAAAGTACACAACTATGAGTCATTCCTGCCAAAAAACAGAAATTTAATCTGATAAATCTTCCAGATTGAATTGCCAGCTTTTAAGAAAACAGAATGCGTTAAATGACACCATGAAGATGCAATTAGTAAAATTCATAGGAAAAATGACCTGGTTTCTTTAATCTCTTCAACAAACACATTGAAAAGAAAAATATAGAGAGGGAAATCTATAGATTAAAATAAACAAGAGGGGCCTGGCGTAGTGGCTTAAGCCTGGAATCCCAGCGCTTTGGGAGGCTGAGGCAGACAGATCACTTGAGCCCAGGGGTTCGAGACCAACCTGGGCAACGTGGCAAAACCCTGTCTCTATAAAAAATACAAAAATCAGCCAGGCATGGTGGCATGCAACTGTGGTCCCAGCTACTTGGGGGCCTGAGGCAGGAGGATTGCTTGATCCCAGGAGGTCTAGGCTGCAGTGAGTCAAAATCACACCACTGCACTCCAGCCTGGTTAACAAAGTGACACCCTGTCAAAAAAAATTTTAAAAAGAAAGAAACTTAAGAGTTATATCAACCAAACGCAATGTGTATCTATTGATCCTGATTCAAATAAACCAACTGCTGTAAAATACTTTGAGATAATCTTAGAAATTTGAATAGATTGAATATTTTATGATATTAAGAAATTATTAATAATTTTATGTGCGATATTTATGTTTTGATCATGTTTTAAAAGAGCCCTTGGCCAGGTGTGGTGGCTCACACCTGTAATCCCAGCACTTTGGGAGGCCAAGGTGGGAATCACCTAAGGTCAGGAGTTTGAGACCAGCGTGGCCAACATAATGAAACCCCGTCTCTACTAAAAATACAAAAATTAGCTGGGTGTGGTGGCGCACCTGTAGTCCAAGCTACTCAGGAGGCTAAGGCAGGAGAATTGCTTGAACCTGGGAGGCAGAGGTTGCCGTGAGCTGAGATTGTGTCACTGCACTCCAGCCTGGGCGACAAAGCGAGACTCTGTTTCAAAAAATAATAATAATAATAAGCCCATAACTTGCAGAAATACATAGTAAAATATTTTCAGATGAAATGATGTGTCAGGGATTTGCTGGAAAAGAACTGAGTTTGGGAGGGAAACAATGGAACATTGGAGGAGGCATTTGTGCAACAGTATCAACCACAAGTTAATAATTATTGAACTAAGTAACAAATACATGAGAGTTTATTATAGTATTTTCTACTTTTGTATGTGCTTAATAATTTTATAGCAAAGAGTGGAAAATACGAAATCTCTAAAAACCAACGTTATTCAAATGCTTACACTACCAAAAGTTAAAATTATACACACATTATTCTGTTCATGTTTCTCTCCCATTGTCTAAGATCATTTTATTTATTCTAAATATTATGGGAGAAAATTTGATAACATCTCCTCGGCCTCTTTAATGATTAAAAGTAGAATTGAGGTCTCGGTGGACCTAGTGCAGCCACAAATTGGACCCTAAAGGAAAAGATAGCTTGGCGCTACCTTCCATTTGTGAACATAGCTCTTTAAATAAGTGGTAGCTTAAAATAACTTGCCTTTGGGGATCATACTCAGTGAATATAAAATGATGAAACAACAATCCTTAAGCCGCTAGAGCTGGGGTGGGACCAGGTATCGTAGCATAATAGAGCAAGTGTCATAACATCAATGACTTCCACTGTGTGGTACAGGAGAGAGAATTTTTAGGTCTTTCTCAAGCTGAAGGATGCTCTTTTTCTGCTCTCCTTACAGAATAGAGTGATCTGTGATATCTTCCCACTAATCCCAAGTCAGGAGAGAGAGAGAATGAAGATCCATTGCTGTAGAGGAACAAACTGAACGTGTTGAAGGTCCCGCAAGGCCAATGTGGCTGGAATGCAGACACAAAGCCAGGAGGAACAAGAGATGGGGCTGACAAGAGAGGCAGGAGTCAGATCTCATGGGAACTGTCACCTGCAGGTAAGAGGTTTGGACTTCATCCCACATGCGATAAGAAGCCATTGTGGGTGTTTTAAGCTGGCAAGGGCAGTGGCTAGATTTGCCTTTTTAAAAATTCACTCTGGCTGCATGAGGTAAAAAGGATCAGAGAGGGACAAGCATGGAATCATGTCAGAAATGTAACCCTCTCACCAGGCACAATGGTAACCTGGTGGAGGTGGTAGAAATGGAGAGAAGTAGGTAGATATGAGATATAATTTGGAGATAGAATAGACAGCACTTGTGTTTTTTTTTGTTGTTTTTTGTTTGTTTTGTTTTTGTTTTTGTTTTTTTGAGACAGAGTCTCCCTCTGTCACCAGGCTGGAGTGCACTGGCACCATCTCGGCTCACTGCAACCTCCACCTCCCAGGTTCAAGCGATTCTCCTGCCTCAGCCTCCTGATTAGCTGGGACTACAGGCATGTGCCACCATGCTCCATTAATTTTTGTATTTTAATAGAGATGGGGTTTCACCCTGTTGATCAAGATGGTCTCAATTTCATGACCTCATGATCCGCCCACCTTGGCCTCCCAGAGTGCTGGGATTACAGGCATGAGCCACCATGCCCAGCCAGGACTTGTTGATGTATTGGTTAAGGAGGATCACAGAGAGAAGTTTCAAAGGTAACACCCAAATTTTTTCGTATGATCAACCGGAAGAAGATATGCATTTATAACTAAATGAAGAACACAAGAAAACAGGCATATTTGTGACCAGAGATCAAGAATAAAGTTTTGAGCATATTAAGTTTGAGATGCTGATTAATCTGTCCAAGGGACATCCCAGTGATGATAAACAGAAGTTAGAATGCACATCTGGAGTAAAGAAATATCATCAGGCATTTAGGCCGGGCACGGTGGCACACACCTGTAATCCCCGCACTTTGGGAGCCTGAGGTGGGTGAATCACCTGAGGTCAGGAGTTTGAAACCAGCCTGGCCAACATGGCCAAATGCCAACTCTACTAAAAATACAATTAGCCAGGAGTAGTGGCCCATGCCCGTAATCCCAGCTACTCGGGAGACTGAGGTAGGAGAATTACTGGAACCCTGTTGCAGTGAGCAGAGATCGTGCTATTGGACTCCAGCTTGGACAATAGAGTGAGACTCCATCTCAAAAAAGGTGGAGGGATGGGCGGGGGAAAGAAACATCATCAGGCATTTGCACAAGGTGGAAAGGTGATAGCCCCTAATGTTGATCAGAGCAGGAAGTATTAAAAGACTGGGTGGGATCATAGAGAGAGAGGCAACTGAAGTTAGAAGCCCCCGGAACTGATAAGACCCACCATATTGACCATCTTAGGCTGTGGCCCTCCAAGTCCCAGCCACACTAGCAAATACAATGCTCCTCTAGTGAGTTCTGTCGTTCCGCAAACATGGGACACCTTCTCAGCTTTCTGAGGAAGCTTTCCTAGGATGAAGTGATTCTTCTGCCATCCTGTAAGTATGACTCTGAGCTTTGAAGACAGGGCTGACCCAGGGGAAGCCCAGGATTGGGACAGAATTGACTAAGATCTTAGGATAGTGTCCAGGGACCAGATAAATTTTTTTGGTCTTTCTTAAGGAAGCCTCTTATCAAGGTAATTATTGTGAAAAGTAGGAAATGATTTGTGGTACTGCCCAGGAAGCCTCAAATATTGCTGGAAATCATTAATCATATTAAGGTAGGGGCGTGCCATGCCCTCTTTAGAAGTACAAGTGCCTTCTTCAGCAGGCAGAGATTTTACCCAGAAATTTTACTCTGACACTCTCAGATAAATATTTTTTAGGTTTGGGTTTGGAGTCAAAGCTGCAAACGTCATCAGAGTCTCATGGGATACCAGAATGAGAAAAGTAGTCCAAGTAAACATCTGTTTTCAATCTTTTCAGTGTTGCAGACCTCTTTGAATACACCATGAGCACTGTGGATTCTCGCCTCTGGAGAATAAAAATCACATACAGAAAAGTTCAGACAACTTTAAGGAGTTTGAAGAATCCCTGCTAGTCGTGGACCCATCTGGGGTTGGTGGATTCCTCACCATGACTCTTTGGATTCAGAAGTCATATAAGATGCAGTTTAACAAATATTGGAAGTCAAATGAGCATTCTGCGGAAAAACAGCTTCTTCCATACATCATCTTCTGGAATATCCCAGATCTGGAAGAGGTCACAGGAATGTCCATTCATAGGGAGCTCTACCTGGAGCTCAGAGATGATTGAGAGAGGGTATTCATCATGGATGTGTCCAAGTGAAGGTAGTTTGGAAAGAAACAAAGTTACCCTTTTTTCTCACTAAACATCTTAGGGTCCCCATTAGCAGGAAGGAAGGAAGAGGACAGGTGAGCTCCCTGGTATTGATGTATTTACAGAGAACCTAGGCATCAGCCATACATACAGAGGACACTCATTTGGCCAGAATTTGGGCTTTGACTTTAATTAAATTCCCTTGCTCCCAATAAGACCTCTCTTAATCTGAAAACAATTTGTCATAAGTGATGTACCTGCCAAGACCTCATGGCAAAGAGGCAGGGGGTACCTAGTAAATGTTGCTGACAAACTCCAGCATGACTCTAAAGGGACAGTGGCTTCCTTTGGATGGTCATGTGCTGCTGCTGGACATAGCAATCAGAAGGACAGTGGTGAACACCCAGGAGTGAACCAAGATGCAAAGTTCAAGTCCGAGGGAAGAAGGGTGCAGTGCGGAAGAAGGGAAGGCAGATGCTGCAGCCCTGCCTACAAGCAAGGAGGGAGCCATTAAGAGCCCCAAGCTGGCCAGGCGCAGTGGCTTGCGCCTGTATTCCTAATCCCGGCACTTTGGGAAGCCAAGGTGGACGGATCACCTGAGGTCAGGAGTTTGAGACCAGCTTGACCAACATGGAGAAACTCTGTCTCTACTAAAAATACAAAATTAGCCAGGAGGCTGAGGCAGAAGAATTGCTAGAATCCGGGAGGTAGAGGTTGCAGTGAGCCGAGATCGTGCCATTGCACTCTAGCCTGGGCAACAAGAGCGAAACTCCATCTCAAAAAAACAAAAAAGCCCCAAGCCTACTTTATCAGACAGAGGAATCAAGTTGTATTTCCTTCTCACCAAGAGACGCTGGAAAGCTGTAATCTTACACCAGTGGAGAAAGTGAGAGGAAAATAAACCCTTTCTAAGGATGAATCCTGAAAGCCTTTCACAGACAATGCTGCTTCTATAAGAATGACCTGTGATGGCTAAGCCATCACAGTCTTCATTCCAATTGACATTCTAGGTAAACCTGCGCACAACTTTTTCTGTGTATTTTCCAAAAAAGGATCATTTTATAAAGGCTCAAGTTATTTACAAATATTGTGCGTATTCTTGCTGTTTCTCAGTTCTTTAAGAACCATACAGACATATTGCCTGGATTTTCACCAGCCAATATGAATGTGCTCACCTTCCCTTGGGTGAGACCACACAGGCACAACATGCGGCTCAGGATAAGTTTTATTGAACGTTTAGAGAGCTAGTTAATTAATTAATTATTTTTTTGAGATGGAGTCTTGCTCTGTCGCCCAGGTTGGGGTGCAGTGGCGTGATCTCAGCTCACTCCGCCTTCCGGGTTCAAGTGATTCTCTTGCCTCAGCCTCCAGAGTAGCTGGGATTACTGGCATGTGCCACAACACCCAGCTCATTTTTGTATTTTTAGTACAAACTGGGTTTCACCATGTTGGGCAGGCTGGCCTCGAACTCCTGACCTCAGGTAATCTGCCCGCCTCGGCCTCCCAAAGTGTTGGGATTACAGGCGTGAGCCACAGCTCCTGGACCAAGAGCTAGTTAATTTAAAAAATAGTTTACAAGTTATTTAATAAATGAGAAAATGGAAACTCAGCCCCAAGGGGAAACGGGATTCTAAGTTTAACTTCCTTAGGCAGGTCCAGTTTTGTGTGGTTTCTGTGGTATGGGTGAGTGGTTATCACACAATTTGATCTCATGAGTAAAACTGATGCAGGAGGACTTTTGTTCACTCTGTTTTATTAATGAAATGAATCCAGAGCTGCTTTTTTATGCTAAAGACTTTAGAGTAAAGACATAATAAAGACAGCCCTTCCTCCTCTTGCCTGAGGGAATTTAGGAAGACATTCCTTGAGGAATCTATTTAGGGCTTTGGAGACAGGAAAGGTAGCAGGATATGGTAAGAGCAAAAGCATCAGCTACAGTAGGTAATGCCTGGGGTTGTTGAAACTGAAGGAAGAAAAGGTTTCCTGTACAAAAACCAAGCACCGTTTTATTTTAATGCTCAGCCGAGACCCCTTCCTGAGAAAACCAGCCACGTCCGTGATTCTTGAAGAAGGTAGTTCCTCTGAGCCCTGTGTTCGCCAGAGGCCTGGAGGAGTAAGTGAGAAGTAGAGGGTGCTGCCAGCACGAATGCTTTGTCATTTAGAACTGCCCAGGGAGCAGTTATAAAACACACACCTGCAAATTACAAGAGGATGGCATGGGCTCACAGGTGCAGCAAGACATGAAGTGACATCTGTCCTCAGCGTCCCTTTTCTTGGAATGCTCCCATGTAGAACCCTATGTCACTTTGAACGAACCTCTTTCTGAAGTGCCTGGGGAGCTCTATCTCCAAGCCCCTACCCTAGGTACTTGCCTCTCCACCCAACCCCACCCCAGTACTGACGACTCATCTTAGGAACTGGAGATAGTGAAAGACAAGACCAATTGAGCATTTGGGTGGGAGAGAACATGGCTTACATGCTCTGCTAATCTGGGATCACATTCTTCCCTACAAGTCTGAAAGCTAAGTGACAGCCCCAAGTCTCCCTCTTAGCAGGTTAGGAGGGGAAGCACACCAAGAGGCCTCACAACTGTGTGTGGAATCACTGTGTTCTCAGTGAGGGAGAGAAAATAGAGAATTTTTAAAGCATTCTCCCCAGATAATAGAAGTTTTGATTCGTTCTTTCCCAAGACAAAACCAAAAGTTTGTTTAAATCTTGTTTCGTACACACATTGAGGAGAGCAACTTTGAGCATCTACTGCATACTAGGCATTGCACTCTGTGTGGGGCAATACAGGGGTGATATGGGGCGGAATAAGGCAACTCGAGTGGCCACTAGGTGTACTGCAGAGGTAGTTAACCTGCACTTTGACAAGGCTCCCTCCCCTCCCCTCCCCTCCCCCCTCCCCTCCCCTCCCCTCCCCTCCCCCCCTCCCCCCCTCCCCTCCCCTCCCCCCCTCCCCCCCTCCCCCCCTCCCCTCCCCTCCCCCCTCCCCTCCCCTCCCCCCCTCCCCCCTCCCCTCCCCCCCTCCCCCCCTCCCCTCCCCCCCTCCCCTCCCCTCCCCTCCCCTCCCCTCCCTTTCCCTTCCTTTTTTTTTTTTTATTGAGATGGCGTCTCGCTCTGTCGCCCAGGCTGGAGTGCAGTGGCGCGATCTCGGCTCACTGCAAGCTCTGCCTCCCGGGTTCGTGCCATTCTCCTGCCTCAGCCTCCCGAGTAGTTGGGTCTGGGACTGCAGGTGCCCGCCACCACACCAAGCTAATTTTTTGTATTTTTAGTAGAGATGGGGTTTCACCGTGTTAGCCAGGATGGTCTCGAATTCCTGACCTCGTGATCCGCCCACCTCGGCCTCAAAGTTCTGAGGTTACAAGGAGTGAGCCACCGTGCCTGGCCCATTACTTTTTTTTTTTTTTTTTTTTTTTTTTTTTTAAGGCAGAGGAGTCTCTATCTCCCAGGCTGGAGTGCAGTGGCGTGATCTCTGCTCACTGCAACCTCCACCTCTCAGGTTCAAGCGATTCTCCTGCCACAGCCTCCCAAGTAGCTGGGATTACAGGCGTATGCCACCATTGCCCGACTAATTTTTGTATTTTTAGTAGAGACGGGGTTTCGCCATGTTGGCCAGGCTGGTCACAAACTCCTGACCTCAAGTGATCCACCTGCCTCGGCCTCTCAAAGTACTGAGAATACAGGCATGAGCCAACGCGCCAGGACTAATTTTCATTAATTTTAATCTTTCTCTTTTTATAAAAGCATTTAAGTTTCTACATTGTCTTCTGAGGGTTAGTTATGCTAGGTTTCAGTTTTGATTGCCTTTTTGTTCCAAAGTTTGTCTAAGGATATATTTCATAATTTCAAAGTATTAACTTCATCACTTTTTATTATTTATTATAACTCTATTCTAACTCTATTGGATGATGATAGAAATGAACTCTCCTTTCTTTGTTCCATCAACCTAGAAAATAATTTTTATTATCTATTTGAGAGATTATAGATTCATAAATTTCTTTACGTTTTTAATTTTTGTCTGTTACTTATGACTGATTATGAAAGAGTTATATTAAAATTTCCCAGTAATATTACACTTGTATACAGTTCTTTTATTCCTAATAAGTTTTGCCTCATATATTCAGCTGCTATTTTTTGTGTGCACAGAGGTTTATGAGTTGTTATAATTGTCTGGGTTGTCTAAGAAGCAGACACCGAGATAGAAATGAATAGGGAAGAATTGTATTAGGGGAAATGCCTAAGAAATAAATTGGAGAAGGAGTTGGGAGAGGCTGGGAGAGCTGTCAGATCATAATGAAGACTGACCCTAAGAAAAGGAGAGAGACAAGAAAAATAGAGTTGAAGTGTTTTCAACTGCTGTGAAGTCTAAACATTCAGCACTGCTGTCTGGAAGTCCTTGAGCCAAAGTTGGCTGTCCAAGAGTCTTGTGTCTTCCAGGAATGGGCCTAACTTACTATGCTATTGCTCTTGTTTATTGCCTGAGAACAGCCTCTGGGAAACCTGGCCCACCACGAATGGGGTGATAGGTTTAGAGGGCAGTGGCTGGTGCCCACTGTCATTGATGCTCCCTGTAGTTGGAAGTCAGGTAGGTGTATTCTAATGACAATCATTTTCATGTACCTTCCTCAAAAATAAACACATTCAAATTTTATTAGCTGATTATTTTAGCATTTTCCAAACCTACTAGATCATGGAATCTTTTTTTTTCTACAGAACTCATGGAGCACATCCTGAGATGTGCTTTTCTAGTTGCACATCCGTAGGCATTGCCCTTGGTCATGTGTAGAGCATTTTACTAATGATACCTATGACAACAGAGAAAGCAAGTATGTTGAATTTGCAGCAGTAATGTACAGCAAAAGGGAAAACAAATTCAATAGATTTTCAGAAGTCTGTCTACCTATGCAATTATGTTCCAGTTCTAAAAGGCTCTTTGAAAAGCCTTTCATAAATCCAAAGTAAGAGAGCCTGTTTTCAGTCTGCAGCCTCCAGGTACATTCCTACCAAAATGGACATGGGTCATGACTTTGAAGTGTTAAAACCAGACACACATTTTCCTAGCTGATGTTTGTTCTGTAAGCATCTAAAGTTTTTGAGACAGTTAATCCCGACCCGAAGCTCTGAGGATCTCTGAAATTAGTTTCTGGTAACTTCTTAGATGTCATGCCATCCCACATATATTTGTCTCTTCTCACTTTGATTTTGTGCAGATTCAAATGGCCATGAACCCATTCAACCATACACAGCTCGAGACAGAGGTTTCCTTGGCAGTAGCATCACCTTGTTCTGTCTTCAAGTTCTCTAACTAACTCTTGGCTTTAGAATACTTAGTCTAATAAACTAAAGCCTAAAAAGCTACCTCATCTAATAATAGGGTTGATCTTTCAACCACGTACACCTCTTTTCCTTGTCTTGCCTACTATTGTCAGTTGCATAGACTTTTTTGTTCACCAATGTTTCACTGTTTATCCTTGAGAATCATTCCTACTGTCAAATGACTCATCTCAGCTGCATATGCCGCATTTGTCATTTCCTCACCACTTTCAATTTTTACAAGTGACTTACTTTGTTTTCCTTATAATCTTAAGTCTCTAGGTATGAACGCTTTCAATATTTTCTCAATAGTACTTTTCAAATAGTATGCATTTAATAATGTCCTTAAAACAGCTCAATAATAAGCACAGACCAATAAAGAGTGTGACAGCTGGCCAGGCGTGGATGCTCATGCCTGTAATCCCAGCACTTTGGGAGGCCGAAGCGGGTGGATCACCTGAGGTCAGGAGTTCGATACCAGCCTGGCCACCACTGGTGAAACCCCATCTCTACTAAAATAGAAAAATTAGCCAGGCGTGGTGGCGTGTGCCTGTAATCCCAGCTACTCAGGAGGCTGAGGCAGGAGAATCACTTGAACCTGGGAGGCAAAGGTTGCAGTGAGCCAAGATCACGCCACTGCACTCCAGCCTGGGCAACAAGAGTGAGACTCTGTCTCAAAAAAAAAAAGAGTGTGACAGCTGAGTATGCAGCCACTGATGTCATCTGTTGGTGGCAGTGGGACCTGAAACAATTTGCTCTAATGGAAAGCTTTGCTTATATCTACACATGTTTATTGGTGGAAAACTCATACAGAAAGATGATTCTGTATTAATCTATATAGCTAGAGGCAGTTTATAAGTATTGCCACATATGGTTTTCTGGTCCCGCTGGAGACAGATCCTTTAAACACAAACAGGGAAAGAATAGTAATTATGACTTCAGATACAAAACCAATTTACCTTAAAGTCTCCTGTAAATTAAACCAGCTTTGATCCACCAATCCTGGCTCATTGGTGACCTGGGTTTTATTCCTAATTTGATTCAGGTAGCTTTAGCTTTTATCTGAATGGTACCAATCTTCCACTAATAATCTGGCATTGACACATACAATTCCTGGCTTCATCTTTGTATATAAATAATAAGCTCTAACCTCAATCAAGCTGGTGATGTCTTTGCCTGAGGTCCCAAGTGTTCTTTTAGTAAAAGGCTAGAATTAATTTAATTGATAATAAACTTCACCTGGACACCAGGTTCTTCCAGGACCTGCATTTGGTTGGATGGTTCTTAGTTGTTTCCTTGAGTTTCTTTCCTTCTTTTTTTTTAGAGACAGAGTTTCACTCTGTTGCCCTGGCTGCAGTGCAGTGGTGTGGTACAAGAATAGCTCACTGCAACTTTGAACTCCTGGGCTCAAGTGATCCTCCCATCTCAGCCTCCCAGGCAGCTGGGACTACAGGTGAGCACCACCATGCCTTGCTAATTTTTAGATTTTCTGTAGAGACAGAGTATCGCTGTGTTTCCCAGGCTGATCTCAAACTCATGGCCTCAAGCAACCCCCCTGCCTCCGGCTCCCAAAGTGCTGGGATTTCAGGCATAAGCTACCATACCTGGCCTGGCATCCCCTCTTTTACCACGGCTGGGATCACTTGGCTCCCATCTATTGGCCTAGGACTACCTTAGTCCCTATGATAAATCTTGATGTTAGACAGGATAAAAGCACATCCCTCCAGCCCACAACATTCCCATACTGTGTGGCTCGGGGTCTATCCCCTCCCTGCTGCTTTTTGACCTTGTGAACCTAGTCTGATAACAAGAGTAGAGTCCTATTGCTATCACTCCATCTACACCTTCCACCACCTCTGTAACTAAACAGAGACAGTGTAATGTCAAGAGTACCAGATTGGCTCAAAGGACACAATCAACAGAGTGAAAAAACTATGGAATGGGAGAAGATATTTGTGAATATTGTGGGATTGTGGGCCCTTATTCCATGAGACCTTAATATCCAGAAAACATAGCTACAACTCAATAACAAAAAAGCAAACAAATCCCATTAAAAAATGGACAAAGGACTTAGAGATTTCTCCAAAGAAGAAATACAAGTGGTCAATAAGCACATAAAAAATGCTCAACATCACTAATCATTAGGGAAATGCCAATTAAAACCATCTTTCACCCATTAGAATGGCTACCATAAAAAAGATAAAATAATAAGTGTTGGCAAGGATATGGAGAAATTGGAACGCTTGTACACTGTTGGTGGGAATGTAAAACAGTGTAGCTGCCATGAAAAACAGTACAGCAGTTCCTCAAAAAATTGAAAATAGAATTACCACATGATACACCAATTCTACTTCAGGTACATACTGAAAAGAATTGAAAGGAAGAATTTGAAGAGATATTTGTACACTCATGTTCATAGCAGCATTATTCACAATAGCTAAAAAGTGAAAACATCCCAAGTGTTGGATGAATAGATAAGCAAAATGCAGTATATACATACAATGGAAAATTATTCAGTGGTAAAACAGAAGAAAATTCTTACACATGCTACAACATGGATGACACTTACAGAAAATATTATGCTGTGAAATGAGCCACTCACAAAAAAGAAAAAGACTGTATGATTCCACTTATAGGAAATATCTAGAATAGGGGACTTCATAGAGACAGAAAATAGAATGGTGGTTGCCAGGAGCTGCGGGGAGAAGGGAAAGGGAAGTTGTTTGATTAATGTCGTTTCAGTGTGGCAATATGAAGAGTCCTGGAGATTGGTTGCACAACAATGTTAATGTACTTAACACTACTAAAATGTACACTTAAAAATAGTTGATTGGCCAGGCGTGATGGCTCACGTCTGTAATCCCAGCACTTTGGGAGGCCGAGGCGGGCAGATCACAAGGAGTTCAGACCAACCTGGCCAACATAGTGAAACCCTGTCTCTACTAAAAATACAAAAAAATTAGCAGGGTGTGGTGGTGGGCACCTGTAATCCCCACTACTTAGGAGGCTGAGGCAAGGAGAATCGCTTGAACCCAGGAGGTGGAGGTTCCAGTGAGCCGAGATCGTGCCACTGCACTCCAGTCCGGGCAATAGTGCAAGACTCCGTCTCAAAAAAAAAAAAAAAAAATTAAGATGCTACATTTATGTTATGTATATTTTACCAAAAACATTTTTTTGAGAATGAGCACAGCAGAGGACCTGAATAGATGTCTCAACTCTGATCTTATTATGCATGTCACTAACTTCTTTGGAATTCGGTTCTCTCACTGTTATCACTAGAAGCCTAATTATTCATATTTACATCCCAGGAACACAGAGAATTCAATGAGATCATCCATGGAAAATTACTTTGTAAACAATACAGAATTCTTCTGTAAATGTAGATATTGTAGAAAGTGAAGTAGAGTTCCTCTTCAAAGGGACTTTCCTCCCTGTCTAATTAGCATTAAATAGTAACTTCTCTTAGAAGCAAAATTTATTCAAAGATCTGTGTGAACATTCTTAGATATCTGCTAGCCGTAATAAAGAAATCAATGTACTTTGTGTTCTTAGCTCCCACATTTTAGCCTAGATATTTGCCCTGGCATGCTTATACTGGTCCAAGCAAGCATTAGGTCATAGCCTGTTCCTCTTCCTTATTTGGAGGGTGTTTTTACCTTTCTCAGCATTCCACAGGTTTCTTCCTCCTTCCTTTGTTCTCCTCTGCCTTTGCCTCTTTTAAAAAGTTCTAAGTTGCTAGCCAATAGGGACAAGTACAGAATGTGAGGTCACGTTCCAGCCAATGGAAACTGGACACAGCAGTAGGGTGGACACGTCAGGTTATAAATGACCCTGCTTCCTTTGTTCGTGTGTGCTCTCATGGCAAAACTGCTAGTGAGCAGCACTCTTTCTGCAGAAAGTAAACTAGCCTTGCTGAGAGGTCTTTTGTCTCAGCATTGATTTTTGCGACACTGAGCACCCATTCCTAACTATATCAACAATAAAGTATACAACTAGAAATGTATTAGTTGTCTCTAAGAAGACAATTAGTAGATAAATTTGAGAGAAATTTGTAGAGTTAAAAGAATCCCAGGAACCTGCAGTACAGCATGGATATGCAATTCAAGTCAAAGCATTTTAGTGAGAACTTACCATACATCAAGCACATCCTAGGCACAGGGAACAAGAATAGTCTCTCTCTGTTTGCTGAGCATAATATGATCACAGAATTTTTTAAAAAGCTATAAAACACCGTGTTGAGGAGGGAACACAGAAGGCTGTGAGAGATCATGGACGTCCTGAACGAGGCGGGCTTCTCATAGGAAATGACATCTAACCTGAGGTGTGAAGGCTGAGTACAATTTCACCAGGCTGAGAGGAAGGGAAAATCAAAACATACATAACCATTCATAAGAGATGACACAAAATGTGTATACAAGAGAATGAATAAGAAATAGTAGAAATATTAGAAACGTTGAGTAAAATTTCTGAAGGTTGAGTTAAATTTCACCAGACCAAGAGGAAGGGAAAATGTGTTCTAGGAAGATGAAACAACTCGTGAGAAAGTATGACGGTAAGAGGAAATCCTGATATGTTTGAGGGGCTGAAGAAATTTCTCTACGAAGTTTGGGAGAGGAAAAGCTGAGAGTTAACAGGAACCTCAGCTCACACCGAGACCTTTAAGCTATATAAAGCTGTTAACATTTAACCTGTAAAAAGTAAAGTAGAGGTTCCTCTTCAAAGACTTTCCTCCCATCTAATTAGGAATAAATAGTAACTTCTGTGCTAACATTCTTAGATATCTGCTAGCCGTAATAAAGAAATTAATATACTTTATGTTCTTAACTCCCACAGTTTAGCCTAAATATTTGCCCTGGCATGCTTATACTGGTACAAGCAAGCATTAGGTCATAGCCTGTTCCTCTTCCTTATTTGAAGGTGTTTTTACCTTTCTCAGCATACCACAGGTTACTTCCTCCTTTCTTTGTTCTCCTCTGCCTTTGCCTCTTTTAAAAAGTTCTAAGTTGCTAGCCAGTTGGGACAAACACAGAATGTGAGGTCACGTTCCAGCCAATGGAAACCGGACGCAGCAATAGGGTGGACATGTCAGGTTATTAATTACCCTGTCTCCTTTGTTCGGTGTACTCTCTTGGCAAAACTGCTGGTGAGTGTACCCTTTCTGCAGAAAGTCAAAAAATGGGCTTGCTGAGGAAATTAAATTTATGTTAAAGTGCTATTTCTTTACAGCACCAGGGAACAAGCATTTCTAACAAACCCAAAGTGCAATATGATGCCATCGAAGAGTATTAAGTGGGTAATGCCATCATCAGAACTTTGTTTTGTGAAGATCATTCAGTTTGTAGGGTAGAAGAGTGTATTGGGGTAGGCAGGGGAGGAGAAGTCCAGGCATAGAAATGTCATACTGAAGGTTGTTACAGTAATCTAGACCCATGATGATGGAGGGAAAATAGCATATACATTCAAGCCAGATTTAGGAATAAAAATTGACAGGACCTGGTAATGTATTAGACATAGAGTAAGAAGGAGAAAGAGGAGTCAAAGTGATGGCTTGGGCAACTGTCAACATGGCATTACCATTTTTGGAGAAAGGGAACACAGAACAAGCAACATGTTCAGTTTTGGATGTTTCGAGTGTGAAATGTTTGAGGGCCAAGCAAATGGGATGCGCAGGTCAGGTGAATGCACTGGTTTAAGATGATTGGGATAGAAATTTGAGACAGATATATAGATGTGCAAGTCATTAACGGGTAAAGGGAGTCAAAGCCATGGATGTGTAAAGGCACTGTGTAGTACTGCAGGTGAAATAAGAAGACAAACAGAGGATTTATTATGAGACTGAAAATCAAAACATACATAACCACTTATAAGACAGGACACAAAATGTGTATACCAGAGAATGACTAAGAAATAATAGAAATACTAGGAAAAGGGAAGGACATATTTTCTCAAAAAGGTAATAGTTTATGTTTCAAGCTGGGAGAAAAACATCATCTATCCAATGAAAAATAAGAAATGAAGGAAAAAATTCAAAAGGTACAGTAAATGGAAAATGTTAAATAAGATGTCAGAAGTATTTTTTATTATAATAAAAGTAATCAGAGTAAATGTAAATGGATTTTAAAGCACCCACTGGATTTAAAAAATAGAAGAACCTAATATGTTATTACAAGAGACAAACTTGAAACAAAAGAAAACAGAAAGATTTGAAATGAAGATTTTATTTTTTTTATAGCTACTAACTTTTTTTTTTTTTTTTTTTTTTTTGAGACGGAGTCTCGCTCTGTCGCCCAGGCTGGAGTGCAGTGGCGGGATCTCGGCTCACTGCAAGCTCCGCCTCCCGGGTTCACGCCATTCTCCTGCCTCAGCCTCCCAAGTAGCTGGGACTACAGGCGCCCGCCACTACGCCCGGCTAATTTTTTGTATTTTTAGTAGAGACAGGGTTTCACCGTTTTAGCCGGGATGGTCTCGATCTCCTGACCTCGTGATCCGCCCGCCTCGGCCTCCCAAAGTGCTGGGATTACAGGCGTGAGCCACCGCGCCCGGCCAGCTACTAACTTTTGTAGCACTTACTATGTGCCAGGCATTGTTCTAAGCCTGTTCCAAGTATTAACTCATTTAATCCTCATAACAATACTATAATGTAGTTCCTATTAATATCCCCATTTACTAGATAAGGAAATTGAAGCATAAAGGTTACGTAATCATTCCAAGATTTAAAAAAAACTAGTAGTAAGTGGCAGAGCTGAGATTCAAACCCAAGTGGTTGACCCAGATTGAGAAAGATATACAAATATGGATCAAAACAGACATGGTATTCAAATTTTAATATCTGACAAAATAGAACTTGAGACAAAAAAAACATATCATACCAATCAAAAAGGGACATTAGATACTGGTGAAAACAGCACTAATTGTTTTTGGGGATTTCTAATATACCATTTCAAACCAACAGGTCAAGCAAAGGAAAATAAATACGTCTATAAAAGATCAGTTTAATTATCATTTTTTTCAGAGAGGTTTTCCTAATCTACCCTTCATGAATTAACTCTGACCACAGATGACCTGAATTCTCTATCACCCTTATTCTGCTTTATTGTTCTCCAATGCAGTTATCACTACCACATATATGTGTGTAAGATGTAATGTGTTGTTTACTAATTTATTATCAGCACCAGCAAAATATTGCCTCCATGAAAGGCAGGAATTTTGTTTTGCTCACCACCTCATATGCCTAGAACAGTGTGTAACAAAAAAGTAGGTACTGAACATTCATTGAAAAAATTAACAAATAGATGAATCTAAATAATACAATCAATAAGATTAATGTATAAGTACTATGTGTACATACTCACCCTCAATAGATGTAGAAAACATTCTCTTTTGAGTGAAAATGGAATAGTCAGAAAAATTGGCCACGTGTGAAGCCATAAAATAAGCATCAAGAAATTCCAAATGAAAATATCATAAGATAATAATAATAAAATATAATAAACATCATACTAGTAACAATAATTATAAATCAATACTAAAGGTATCTGAAAAATGTCAGTAACATACTAAATATTACACTAAATAATAAGCTAAATGTTTAAATAGTGGATCAAAATAATTTAAAAGACTAAAATGTTAAAAATTAGTAACTGATTAGTAAGTACTAATTTAACTATGCTAACAAACTAAACTAAATTAAAAGGAACTAAACAAATAAAACTAAATGACTTAGCTAATAAGTAAACTAAATTAAATACTGAAACTAAGTTGTACAAACTAAACTAAAAAAAAAATACTATCCCAAACACTTGAGATGAAGATAAATCATAAGAAATGCTATAACACATAGAACTGAATTACTGTGAGTTATTTACTTGTCAAAATTAAAGGGACATAATAAAAGCATACCTAGAGAGAATTTTATAGTTTTCATACATTTATCAGGGAGAAAAATGAACTCAGTAAGAGCAAATGAACTCAGCTGAGCACCATTGCCTGCACCTACAGTCCCGGCTACTTGAGAGGCTGAGCCAGGAGGCTCACTTGAGCACAGGAGTTTGAGGCCACAGTGCACAGTGATCACATCTGTGAATAACCACAGCACTGCAGCCTGGGTAATATAACAAGACTCCATCTCTTCAAAAAAATGAAATAGAAGGAAAAAGAAAGAAAGAAATAATGTTAAGAAGAGAACAAAATTCTGCTCAGGAAGTTGTCTAATATTACTTGAAGATAGACTGTAATAAATCAGAGATGTATATTTTAAGCCCTAAAGCAACTTATAGAAAAGTAAGACAAGAAGTATACTCCTTGAGCCAATACTTGAGCAATCATAATGGAATCATAACATATATGTAATCAATCCAAAAGAAGGCAGGAAAGAAAAGAAGCAAAAAAGGATGGTCAAATAGAAAACAATCTATATATATGGACATTTTGGTGTCTCCCAGTGAAAAAGTTGGCTTTCTGACGGTAAAACCCATCTGCCAACAGATCCTCCCTCCACATACAGAGTTTGCTTTCAGCTTTTTAATTCCTTTCTCTTAAATATAAAAAGACAGACAAGGTTTACTAGACATTTGATCAAGATCTCTATTATGAAAGATAACAATAAATAGCCATGTACAATGGAATGGAACTACTTGGAAGGCTGAGGCAGATTGCTTGAGCCCAGAAGTTTGAGACCAGCCTGGGCAACATAGCAACAGACACCATCTAAAATATGAAACAGAGAAACACAAGGAGAAGAAATATTCAAAATGTGTATAATTTTTATCCTCAAAGAAAGCAGAGAATATATTGCAACCATAGAGCAAGAGAATATGTTTTCAGATTCATAAAACTAGACTGAACTTTGATAAGTAAAATATGTTAACATAGGTTTTTCTAAATTATAAGTGGATTAGAAAATAAAGTAAGAAATTCTCTCCAAATGTGAGAACTAAAAGACAAATACAAGGAAAGTGAGAGAGAATGAATAAAATGGAGGATTCATCCAGGAGATCTAATATCTGACTAGTAGACATTCCAGAAAGAGAAAACATGGAAAGTGAAGGGGAAGAAAGTATCATAGAAATAATACAAGAAAAGTTCTCAAATAGAAGCATATGAGTTTCCAGACTGAAAAGTAATTCTCCAGGATAATGGTTGAAATTAGAAAGGACCCACCCTAAGTGGGACCTTGCCCACTAGTAAGGCATACCTGTAGAATTTAGGGATAAAGGGGATCCTAAAATCTTCCAAAAACAAAACAAAACATAAACCTCAAGTCACATTTAATTATTGAGAATCAGAATGGCCTGGGTTTCTCAAAAAGAACACAGGGAATTTGAAGACAACTGAGTAATGTCTTCAAAAATTCTAAGAGAAATATTTTCTAACTTATAATTCTATATTCAGCCAAACCATCAAACAAGTATTGGGACATAATAAAGATATTTTCTGACATTCAGACCTTCAAAAAAGTTATCTCTATTTGTTCCTGTTACAGCTCTGAAAATTAAAAATTACTTCCACCAAAATGAGAGAGTAAACTAAAAAAGGAGATTCGTTGTTTAGGAATCAGGGATGTAACACAGGAGAGGGGCAAAGGGAACTCACAGGATGGTGGATAAGGAGAGTCCCTGGATGTCAGCTGAGTATCTGGCCAAGAGAACAACCAGGGCAGACTGAAGCTGAAAGACAGCTCCAGGAGAGAGATGTTGAATAATAATAATAATAATAATAAACTAATAAATGGAAATGAAAATGGAAAAAAAATCACTTGATGGCTTTAATACCTTGAGAGGAAATTTAGATTTCTGTGGGAAATTTTAAGGATGATTTAGCATAATACAGAAAAATGAGCAAAAAGGACAAGAATTAATTTCACTAATTACAAGAAAGGAAATGTAACAATATTGCTTTACATGATTCAACTGTAAATAATAATTATGCAATCAAAGTAATATAAACTCCCACAATTGATTTTAACAACATAACTGGGTTCAGGGACAGTGGGGGTGTGGGACTGTGTATATGTGTTTTGGGGGCATGGGGAAGAGCCAAATTCCATCTTTTATGATAGAAAGTTAAAGACAATGTCTAAATTTGAAATATGAAAAACTATTTTTTTAAATCTGTCATGTTTTGAACGCTTATGTCCCCCACAAAATTCATATGTTGAAATCCTAACCCCCAAGGTGATTAGGAGGTGGAATCATTGGGATGTGGTTAGGTCATGAGGGTGAGGCCTTCATGAATGGAATTAGTGCCCTTATAAAGGAGGCCTTAGAGAGCCAGCTAGCTCCTTCACCCATGTGAGTCTGGAGTAAGATGACAGCCATCTTAGGTAGCCTTGATCTTGGACTTTCAGCTCCAGAACGGTGGACAATAAATGTCTGTTGTTTATAAGTCAGCCAGTCTATGGTATGTATTTTGTTAGAGCATTTGGAACAAAGACCAGGTGCTATCTGTCTTTGACAAAGTATAAATCACAAGACATAGCTGAGAGAGTGAAAAGTGATGCCATTTGAGGTGTGGGAATTGGGAAATAGAAAAGTGTGGTGAGGGAACTGCTCTTTTATTATAAGTCCTATAATAAAACAGTGTTTTTGTTCAACAGTTTCTGTGTTACTTTGATAAAAAATTAAAATCACAATTAGATGAAATTGTGGGACGGATGGTAATGAATCCAGATCGTGAGCCTAAAGATCTATCCAAAATGATTCTAATTTCTAGAGTGAAGAAGCAAAAGCAGGTTTTGGCAGGGAAGTAATAATGGCATATCCTGGGAGAGCTCTGAAGCCGGTTTTCTAGAGAGTAGCTGAGAAATGCTGCAGCGTCTCACACCCACACAGCCTGCTACCCCGTTGCTACCTAGATCATGTTTTCCAGTGAAATATTGGCAGGGGAAACATTGATTTATCACTATTTTATAAGGAGAGAATTTGGCAAGGGCCATGGATTAAAACGTACACAGAATATAGGTCTTGAAACTGGAAAATGTCCACCTGGATTTGAAGAGAATTACAGCTAAGTGGGATAGCTATTCCTTCAATAAAGACATACTGAGCATCTAAGTGTAAAACATTGTGTTAGACTTTGGGTGGGAGGTGCTTATAAAGATTAATAGGCTGCAGGCTCAAGAAAGTTACAATTTACTGGGGAAGATATGAGCACATGGAAATTAAATAATAAGATGTCACAGTCAGTGTATCAAATCATTTAAGCGGGGTCTCATGAGCAGTTCAGCTTGCCCTGATATTCTCAGACATTTTGAATGAGGAGAGGTACATAGTGATGCATTTTAGAATCCGAATTGTGTATGTCCCAAGAGAAAGAAAAATGGGAAATAATGACAATATATTCTGTGAAGCCAAGCTGATCTTTTCCAGAACTGTGTTTGCACCAAAGGAAAAAGACAGAAAGTCTAAGCCTGAAAAACAGAAGAGGAAGAGAGAAAGAGACAGGGGAAAAAGAGAGAGAGAACATTAAGTTAGGAACACTGCAATAAGGGACGTAATGTAACTAAATCATTGGTTACAACCCACAGAACCAGTTTTAAGAAATAAGAGAATGGAGGGGGTCATGCCTTGTGTATGTTAATATTTATTTCCACAAAGAATTATAATTAATGTGATATGAATCAAGTCTCACCACAGTGGGTTGCCACATGGGGTGCTGGCCCATATCTTAAAATTTTCACATACTAACTTTTTGCTTAAAATAAATAGGGTGTAAGCTGGTGGTTGCCATTTTGATGTAACTTCTGTATTTTTGTGGCAATAGATATTTTTACCTGAATTTTAATTAATACTTGAGTTATATTTGACAATCCTTTCACTGCCTTTTACTTAAGTAAAAATACCAGTGAAATGTGGCTTTCAGAAAAGCAGAGAAGACCATTAAAATGGTAAATTCTGAAGATAAAAAGTGTTTAATAACTAGTAAATCAAGATGATTAGTTTTTTAAAAGAATAAAATATACGCATATCATGGAGTGGGAGGAAGTAGTTTGGGAACACCATGAGAACTTGGGAAAACATTTGTTTGCCCAAGAAGGTGCTCTGGTTTTGGGACGGGAGAGATTACAACACTCACTGATGGCTCAAAGAAGGGTAAAAGAATGCGGCTCCAGGAAGGTGAGATATGATGAAAATACCAGGACATTTCAAACATAGATGCATGATTAGAGAAAGAAATTTGACAACAATTCCTTAGCTAAGAGATTTATCAAGCAATAATAATAAAAGCACAGTATATGGAATCTTCAAAAACAGAAATTTAGATAACTTAAAAATATCTATGTATCATTGCACCCATATCTCTTAAGAATAGCCAAAATTATTGAGCTATTGAAAGGCAAGGCCATGATTGCCATCAATTTAGCCAAAGGAGACAATTGTGAAGCGAAATAAGAAAAACAATGAGCATTTCAATGAGGACAAATAATACAGCAGTGGTTGAAGTAAGAAAAATATTTGGAAAGTTCTTCATGTTATTTGTCTGTTTGCATTGTTTGTTGTTTTGCTTTTCTGTTGCACTTTGACTTTTCTCTGTGATATATAAAAATTTAGGAATAGAAATATGTGGTCACTTGCGTCAATGAAAAATTCCATATTGTAGGCCGGGCACAGTGGCTCATGCCTGTAATCCCAGCACTTTGGGAGGCTGAGGCAGGCAGATCACCAGAGGTCAAGAGTTCGAGACCAACCTGGCCAACAGGGTGAAACCCCGTCTCTACTAAAAATACAAAAATTAGCTGGGCATGGTGATGGGTGCCTGTAATCCCAGCTACTCGGGAGGCTAAGGCAGGAGAATCACTTGAACCTGGGAGGCAGAAGTTGCAGTGAGCCAAGATCGTGCCACTGCACTCCAATCTCAGTGACAGGAGCAGAACTCCATCTCAAAAACAAAAGCAAAAACAAAAAACCTCATATTGTACTAATAGATACAGAATGAGAAGCACTGTGTAGGCTTGCTATTCATCTGGTCTGAACCACCATTTTATGACTATATTTATGGCCCTGGTGGGTTAATGTGCATCTGTCCAGTCCCATGGGCTCCTCTGTTGAAGCATCTGAGTGAGCAGGGGATGGACTGTAGGCTGGACCAGCAGGTTCCATTTCAGCTCAGGGCCCCAGACATCAAATGCACAGTTAAACTGCGGGTGCAGACAGCTCCATGAAGAGCCTAAAGTAACCATCTCTGATGAGCTGAGAATAGGGAATTCATTTCCCAGTTTCCCAACATCCTTGTTAAACTTCCAGGGAGGGCCACCATCTTCTGTCACCAACCCAGATGCCTGTCTGGGAGCCCCTGATCCTCATCAAGTAACACCGCACTAATGCAAGACCTAACCATTCCACCCAGGGCGGCCGTCGCCATGGGATGCACCTGGTCATAGTTACTCAATAGTCTTCCTGGAAGAGGTCCCTGATGTTTCTTCCACTCCCCAAACTGTAAACTTTGCCAGGAAGCAAGGAAATGCCCTGTGGAACATTTAACTGAAGAGTCAGCAAAAGACAATCACACAGGTCAGGTGATGACTCACGCTTTGCAGCTCATTTCATCCCTTTAGGAAAATCCATGCTCTTTCCCTGAATCCCCTGAAATAAATTGCAAAGGTTTAGAAAGCCTAAAAATAAGTGCTTCTCCAGTCCAGAGCTGTCACTAGAAGCTAACTCCCATGTTGGTTTTAATTTCCTGTCTTGTAACGTTTTCTAAATATATGCTACTCTTTGCCACCTCTTCGGAAACTGCCATTAAACTGTGATTTGTGTCTAGTCAAGAAATGGAGGCACAAAATGGTCAAGTAACATTTTAACATTTCCTAGGTCATACATGTAGTCAGGATGGGGCTGGAATCCTAGCACAGACGGGTCTGCCTCTGCCCCTATTTCTTCATGCCACCTTCTTAATAACTTTTAGGCCGGGCGCAGTGGTACGCCTGTAATCCCAGCACTTTGGGAGGCTGAGGAGGGCGGATCACCTGAGGTCGGGCGTTTGAGACCAGCCTGACCAACATGGAGAAACCTTGTCTCTATTAAAAATACAGAATTAGCCAGGCATGGTGGTGCATGCCTGTAATCCCAGCTACTCGGGAGGCTGAGGCAGGAGAATCGCTTGAACCCAGGAGGCAGATGTTGTGGTGAGCCGAGATCACGGCATTGTACTCCAGCCTGGGCAACAAGAACGAAACTCCGTCTAAAAATTAATTAATTAATTAATTAAATAACATAACTTTTATCGGTCTCATCCCCTAGTTCTCTAAATTCCTAGAGCATGCCCCTCACTGATGGCCCATGCCACTCCATTCAGCTTCTAATACTCTTCTGATTTCGATTCAAATAAATTCCAATAATACTCTAATTTCAAAAAAGAACTTTATTGACTATTTCAAAAATGTTATTTTATTTCCCAATGAGCTTCTGGGCTTTTTGAAGAGCTATATTTCAGAATGATCACTGTGGTCCTGTGGGTAGCATTAGGGCCCACTTCTCCATGGACAGACAAGACTTGAGCATGGTGGCAGGGTTTGAAGCTGGTCTGGAGTACTAGGTGCATGATTACCCTGCTACACAACTGGTTCCCAGGGTACAGGGAGTTAAAGAGCTTCCCAAGGGATCTTGGTCTGCCTGTAGACATGGTTAGTAGACACATTCCTTCATCCAATAAGACTAGGGAGAGAATGCCCAAAGAAAGATAAAGGTTTTCCATCAAACTATGAAAATCTTTGTCCCCAATATTGGCAGTAATGTTTTCTTCTAGATACCAATGGAAACATCCCTTTCATGGTACTGCCAACAATTTTCTCAACAAAATATCGTGTTGATGGATCATGGATGCAGCTTACATTCTCCACTTTCTTTTTTGTTTCTTTTTGTTTTCTTTATTTTTATTTTTATTTTTTTGAGATGGAGTCTTGCTGCATTGCCCATGCTGGAGTGCAGTGGCACGATCTCGGCTCACTGCAACCTCCTTCTCCCAGGTTCAAGTGATTCTCCTGCCTCAGCCTCCTGAGTAGCTGGGATTACAGGTATGCGCCACCACACCAGGCTAATTTTTGTATTTTTAGTAGAGACAGGGTTTCACCGTGTTGGCCAAGCTGGTCTTGAACTCCTGACCTGAAGTGATCCGCCTGCCTCGGCCTCCCAAAGTGCTGGGATTACAGGCATAAGCCACCATGTCTGTCCTCTACTTCACTTTCATTCAGAGCGGATTGTGAGGAATTGCATCTTTGGTAGTCTTTTCATTGCTTTTTTTTTTTTTTAGCCTTTTTTTGGTTAGCCTTTTCATTGCTTTTTTATATTCTAAAATTAAATATAAAATTGATTGAATGCAAACAACAGTAGTGACAAGGGGTTACAAGCTTGTGGTAATAAATGGCCTGAATTTATAATGGCCCTAAGTTGTAACTCTTCATAGAGTCCTCAGCCCCTCAGCCTCACTCTGGCATATCTCAGTTTCTCTGTTATTCTGCTCTATGAATGATCTCTATAGGGTTCATTAGTTCTTACATAGAGTACTTGATTTTGAAAAAACATGAGGTATCCATCTTAGTTTCTCACCCAATAACTGATTACTTCCTCTCCCCCGGATGGCTGGTATCATCCCACTGTACAGGTTCAGTAATGTTCTTGTTCTCCACATCTCTTAGTCTTTAATACAAATACAAACGTTATACAAAGTTTGTTCTTCCAGCAGGTAGGGCACAACATGTTCAAACAGGAAAACTGGGTTTCAGTGGCAGCTTGCCAGATTAACCAGCTAGTGAACTTGGCCAAGTCACTTCACATCTCTGAGTCTTAATTTTCTTATTTATAAAATAAAGATCAAAAATATATTCCTAAGAATGCTTAGCCCCAATGATGTAAAGATGTTTAAAATTATAAAGTGATATACAAATAGAATGGATCAATATTTTGATTTTGTGTTTCTTCCACAGATTCTCTAAAAGCAACAAAAAAGTAGTGAGTTCCTGGATTAGATACTCTGTGGGGTGCTAGGGATGTGAAAACATGTCTCCTTTTCTTGTTTTCCCTTTCACATGAACTACCTTGACTGCTAATTTTATCTTCTCAGATTATATCATTTTCATACGATATCTCAAATCTTTGGTAGATTGGAATAATGCATTAATAAATTAATAATTAATAAAAGAAAATAAAATAATTAATGGTACAAGGCACAATACCTCCTCAAAAGGAATGTATATCCCAACAAGAGGACACGACAATATTTTTAAAGACGATTTCACAACATCAGGGACGTTCTGAAAGCCCTGAATGAGTGATGGAGATGGTACAGCTGCAGGAGAGATGGGAGAGATCGCTAGAAGACATGAAGTGGGAAAAGGCTTCGGAGAGCAGGTAGTGCTCCTGCAAGGTCTTGAAGCCAATGAAGATTGAAGAGAGCCTTTCATCCCAGAGAGGGAGGTGAACAAAGATTCAAGCGCAGAGACGGGTCAAGGGTATTCAGGAGGAAGTAAGGCAGCCTGGAGTTGAGAGAAAGGACACTGAAGTACAAGACAGAAAAATGACTTTTCAGAGGCTGAAAATGTACCAAAATGTACAGGCTACTGGCTCTTGTCCACCACCACTTCCGCATTTGCACAATCTGAGAATCCTGTACAATCTGTGAGGCTCAGGAACAAGCCACTTGGATGGGGGTCAGCAGGCCTGGGTGTCCTTACCAGCTCTGCAAGTCACAAACATCTCCGAGCTTCATTGTTTTTTCCAGAAGAGCAGTTCTCCACATCCATATTGCAACACATTGGAATGTTTAACAAGTCATTTGTTACTATTATGAAATTATTAAAGTAGGTGAATATTTTAATTAGAAATCACTTGTTTCAAAATTTCTTGAATGGAATGAAAGAAATGGAAAAGGGAGTGTGTAAGTCCATGAGAGGGGGTGACCTATGTCACAGCACCAATAGTGCTGTTCTAACATAGAGGGAATGGGGAGAGACCAGTGTCCTAGAACATAAAGGCGTGGTTCTATATTTCAAAGTGCCCCATAACAAAGAAGTAATAAGACGACTAGGTCTGGACTGTGCCTATGAAGGTGGAAAGTCTGAAGACACACTTGCCTCTGGAGAGTATGTAGTCAGTACTCAGGCACCGGGTAGCTCCTCAGAAGGAAGGAGCAAGAGGCTCTTACTGGTTCAGAGGCAGCTTGTCTCGGGATCTCAGACGTGGAAGGCTGGTGTGGTTCTGATGCATGCACAGCCAGGATTGACTGGGTTTGCAGCTTTCCTTTCTCTTTTCTGTTCTAATTCTGGAGGTAGAACTTGATGCCTCCTTTGAGTCCTCTGCTCCTGTTTCCTCTGTTCCCATTTCCTGTTCCCGATGGATCCTGAGAAATATGTGAACACTTCAAATGATGTTTGACATTATTGAAAAGGGCCCTCTCTAGAGAATACCTTTTATTATGTGAAACATCTTATTTGTGATACGTACAGCACTTGTGTTTAAGCTGTTGCCAATTTATATTTGTGTATGCAGTATTAGTTTTCTTTGAGAGGCGGCCAGTTAGGACACTTATGTTGCTGAGTACCCATTACATTGTGAAAGATACCCCAAGGCTAGCTGATTGTTCAGTTTTTCCAGATTTTCTGTCTTACTGCTAGTGCCAACTGTGCGTCTGGGCATAAACCAGACCCTGATTCACCAAAGGCTGGCCATTGTCTCTTCCTCTTACCCATCTATTCTAACACACCTTCAGTCACCCAGAGCCCATAGAGTGCCATCAACAATAGCACACCTTACACGAGAAGAAAGATGAGACTTTCTAGTTTACTAGAAAGAATGCAAGTGTGAACATTCTGCAGTGAGGAAAACAAAAACCAGAATAGAAAAACACCAAAAACTTGGAATATTCCTCTTGGTTTTCATTGAGTTGATAGAGTGGGCTCTTTAAGGATGGGACGCTTTACACAATACATCAGGTCATGAGTTCTCAGCAGGGGCCAAAAGGGACACATTGACAAAGGAAGACATCATTTTCATCCAGCAGATTCAGGGACGAAGGGATCTGTTTTATTGATGCAGTGCTGAGTCACTTAGCAGCTGACTCATTAGCAGCCATTAGCCAGCCCACAGTCAACAGAAAATGAGCACAATTGTGCAATCTTTACAGAAGAGAATTTACAAATTAGGGTTGGCAACCGAACTGACAGATCTGGGACTGTTATCAAACAGAGGAGACTTTCTGCCTGCTGACTATTTTGGAGACTTGAACCCAGCAACATGAACACCCAGGAAGCTGTTGCACACTACATACAGGTCAAACAAGACTCCTTTAAACTGATGTTTTTCTGTCTGTCTCTGTTTGCTCCTTGTATGAGATTATGCCATTACATTTATGCACTAAGCAGACAGATAATACTATTAGTTCTGATTTCACTTGGCTCCTTAAACACCATACAGGTTACTAACAGAGCTGTTTTAATACATATTGGCTCTTTGTGTCATGCCAAGACACAGGTGTCACTAGGGGACACAGGGCTGGAAACTTAGCCAAGCATGAATGGCCCAGAAGGATAAGACTGGGATGTCTTCTAAATAGGGAGAGGAAAACGACTACCATAAAGCCAGATAAGGCAACAGGAAGTGTTCGCCAGGCTTTCAGCAGTGGGAAGTGCTACCATGGAATCCTTCTCACTCTGGTGGCCAAATTTACTTGATTTCTACCTTTCATCCAACCTGGTGCCCCTATGGTGGGCTTCACTATGAATTACTCAGTGAGACCTCTGGCTAGTCCTGCCTTTACCTTGGTACCCCCACTCTCTCAAGGTCAGGTTTCCCTGACTGATCACTAGCTCTCTGAAGCTCCAGCCTGGTAGGTAATTGGGCACCTGTCTGAACCTCAGATCTATTTTTTTTTTTTTTTTTTTGCGCGACAGAGTTTTGCTCCTGTCGCCCAGGCTAGAGTGCAATGGTATGACCTCGGCTCATCACAACCTCTGCCTCCCAGGTTCAAGCGATTCTACTGCCTCAGCCTCCTGAGTAGCTAGGATTACAGCCATGCGTCACCATGCCCAGCTAATTTTGTATTTTTAGTAGAGATGGAGTTTCTCCATGTTGGTCAGGCTGGTCTCAAACTCCTGACCTCAGGTGATTCGCCTGCCTTGGCCTCCCAAAGTGCTGAGGTTACAGGCATGAGCCACCACGCCTGGCGAAAACCTCAGGTCTTTAAAGTCAGATGGTCCTGACAAGTTAGCCTTACCAAGAGAAGACGTTCTGCCAGGTAGCACTGGCTCCCAGCTATGAACCCTAGTTTCTTCTGCCATTTACTGGCTGCATACCTTTGGGCAAATGACTGAAATCCCTAAGTGTCTATTCCTCCATCAGTTACATGGGAATACCACTGCAGTTCCATTTAGCTCCACAAGACTCCATTTACGCAACAAATATTCATTGATCACCTCTGACAAGCCTGGCTCTGTGCTAGGCACTAGGGACACAGTGACAAACTGTAAACTACGCAGATAAGGTTCTTTCTCACATGGAAGGAAATTTACATGTTACCTAGGGTGGGAATGGGCAGGAGGAGACAAAATAACAAAGCAAACAAATTTACCTCGTAATTTTTGATAGTAACACATGCTAAAAAAACTAAGAAAGAAAGATACAGAATACAATGATTTGATAAAGAGTGACCAGGGTGGAGGTGACAGGATTTAGCCAGGGAGGTCGCATTTGATATGAAGCAATGCGAAGGTACATTGTGAAGATATGATGCGTGGATATGAAGACCACCTTGTGAAGATGTGGAAGCGCAGCAGTCCAGGTAGCAGAAAGAGCAGGAGCCAAGGTCCTTAAGCAGGAATGAGCTTGACTTGCTCTGAGGACACGTGGGGGAGTGTTGGACTCAGAAAGGTAGGTGATCCAGTGTGCAGTAGCAGATGAGCTTATCTGACAGGCAGAGCCAGTCATGTGGGACACTGAAACCACAAAAGGAGCCTAAATCTTAGTCTATATTCAGTGGTGACTCTGGGAGGAATTTTCCACAGGGAAGTGACATCGTCTGCGTTGCATTTTAAAAGACCATCCTGTCTGCTTTATAGGGTGGGGATTATAGGAAGAAGTGAGTGTAAAAAGAATAGTTAATAGAGTATGCATAACCCAGGTAGGAAATTCTGGTGGCTTGGCTTGGACTAGAATAGTTTCTGGAGATAAGGAGAAGTTGACACAGCAGGGATTCATCTTGGAGATAAAGCCAACAGGTTTGCTGATGGATTGGATGTGAGTGGATGGGAAGGAAAGAAATTAAGGATGATGCCTAGATTTTTGGCGAGGTGTCTGGATGGATGGTGGTAACTTTAAATAAGATGAGGAAGAACAAGTCAGGGCTATTAGGGGAGGAAGGTCAGTGGCAGTAAGAGTTTCCCTGGAGCCAGGTTAGTTTGTCATTCTTCTTAGCCAAGTGAGGTTGTCAGATTGGCAGTTGAATCTACTCTACGTTTGCAGCTCAGTGGAAAAATTAGGGATGGAAATTTTTTTTTGTTTTGAGACAGCGTTTCACTCCTGTTGCCCAGGCTGGGTGCAATGGCATGATCTCAGCTCACTGTGACCTCCGCCTCCCGGGTTCAAGCGATTCTCTTGCCTCAGCCTCCAGAGTAGCTGGGATTACAGGTATGCACCACCACGCCCGGCTAATTTTGTATTTTTAGTAGAGACAGGGTTTCTCCATGTTGGTCAGGCTAGTCTCGAACTCCCTACGTCAGGTGATCCACCTGCCTTGGCCTCCCAAAGTGCTGGGATTACAGGTGTGAGCCATAGCGCGTGGCCGGATGGAAGTATTTAAGTACGTAGATTGTTTAAGGCTCAGCTCTGTGCTAGACAATGCATATCATCATTCATTCATTCAACAGGCCCTGTTCTAGGCACTGGGGTTACAGTAGTAAACATAACAGACAAAAAGCCCTGCCCTCATGGAGCTGACATTCTAGCAGGAGGAGAGGGGCAACAAACAAATATGTGAATGAAATGTATGTTAAGGAAAAAAAGAGCAGGAATTATAGAAACAGGGATGCAGGTTGAAGATAGAGGATCAAATTTAAAATCAGTGGTTAGGGAAGGCATGTTTGAAAAGAAAAAGACCTGAGTGAGGTGAGGGAGTGAGTATGTGGTTACCTGGGGAACTACATTTCAGGAGGAACGCAGGCAGATGTGGAGAGGGAGCAGGTGTGGGAGTGCAGGCAGGTGTGAGTTCTCTCAATCCCAGCCCTTCCCAGTCCTGTGCGGGTTGTCCATCAAAGCTATTATTGCTCTCACCACATCTATCAGCCAGTGGTTGAAGGGGTAGCCTGTGAGTGTCACCAAGTCCACTGGCTCCTCTGCATTGAATAGACTCACTTGTTGACTGATGGTGGGCTGCACCACCCGGGACACTTGCCCTCAGCAGGTGGCTTCTCCACCAAGCCTGCAGGCGTGAAGAGGAAATCCCACAGGCGTGAAGAGGAAATCCCACAGCCCAGGGATGAGCACCACCTGGAACTCACAGGAAAGGGCACTGCTCTGTGCTCACTGATACTGCAGCCCCAGAGGGTAGGATTCCTCTAGAAAAAAAGTAAACAAACAAACAACATGTTCCCTAAATCTTTGTCTTGGGCTTAAGCTTTTCCCTGCTCTTTGTATCTGTCCTCCATTCCTGACAATATAGCTGGGATGCCCGCCTTTGTAACAAAGCCTGGCTCAGGCAGATGCACATCTTCTGGGACTTCAGCTTTGTCATGCCCTGGCTGATCCAGCCACCATACTAGCCCCTGCCCAAGGCCCTGAGTTCATGGCTGCCATTTCCTCCTGTTTCTATGGGTAGCCTCGACTTACCCGGCAGGTTTTGGAGCCAACTGGCCTGAGTTTGTTTCCTGGCCTTTATCAGCCATGTGACCTTGAATCAGTCAATTTCTTTCCTTTTTTTTTTTTTTTTTTTTTTTTTTTTTTTTTGAGATGGAGTCTCACTCTGTCGCCCAGGCTGGAGTGCAGTGGTGTGATCTCTGTTCACGGCAACCTCCGCCTCCTGAGCTCAAGCAATTCTCTTGCCTCAGCCTCCCGAGTAGCTGGGATTACAGATGCCCACCACCACGCCCGGCTTATTTTTGTATTTTTACTAGAGACAGAGTTTCACCATGTTGGTCAGGCTGATTTCAAACTCCTGAACTCAAATGATCCGCCCGCCTCGGCCTCCCAAAGTGCTGGGATTACAGGCGTGAGCCACCATGCCTGGCCAGTCAACTTCATAAGGACTGTGTTTCGTCATCTGTAAAATGGAGATAATAACCCTGTCGATGTTTTTGCAAGACATAAATGTGTTACTACATCTGCAATTATTAGTCCTGTGCTCACCATGCATTTGGTGTTCAAAATAAAATGTATTATTATTGGCTAGTTATCATCTGCCCTTTAAATAGATATAAATAAATATTGTAAAGTACTGCCTGTGACAGCAACAGTAGACGTCTGCCCCAGTTGTGTTTAGGCAACATGCTGGCTTTTAAAAATGCCAATAATATATTTTATTTAATGAACATATCCAAAATATTTTCAGTTCAATGTGAACAACATAAAAATGAATGAGATATTTTACATTTTTTTATTATGGTAAAATATATAAAACATAAAATTTACTATCTTAACCATTTTTATGTGTACTGTTAAGTGGGATTAAGTTGATTCTCATTGATGTGCAACCATCACCACCACCCATCCGCAGAACATTTTTTATCTTGCCCCAAAATATTAAACGCTTTGCAAGTTTGTGTGTTATCCTTGCACAGGGCCCATGCTAATTTCCTCTGTGTCATTCCAATTTTCAGTATCACTTCCAATATTACTTGTTATCCACACAAACACCACACCTTGGCCTTTTAAAGGGGTTCGCCGATGGTCTGAAAGTGAGCAACAAGTATTAAAGTACTTGTCTTACAGAGTAAGTTAGCTTTAAACCTCATGCAATTTTGCATGCTAAACATGCCTCAGAAACTCCGACTGTGGGTTCTGTGGACATACATCTTACTGTGACAACTATAGCTTGAACATTTTCGTTTTTCACTCGACCACAACTAACTTAAGGTGTGTCGTCACCAGTGTGCTTTCTCATAGGGTCTATTCCTGACTAATTGGAGGCATTGTGTTAGTAAATTCTTCTCAAACAAATATATTCTTTCCACAGATCTCAAATCTGAGTCCTTTATGGAGGCAGTGTTAACTTTCTATTGTAAACATTTGTTATTCAACTCCAGATCAGAAACGAAACGGTTATTGAGATGAAGTGCAGAAATACTTTTTTTTTTTCCTTTCTATTCCACATGACTTTTTAAAACTCGGTTCAGGATAGAAAAGAATGCCTGAGTTAGGATTCAGGGATTAACTACCACCCACAGGCTCACTTATAGGTACATTGAGAAGTGCATATCCCCACGTCCCCTTGAGGCTGGGTGTGGCCATGTGGCTTGCTTGGCCAGTGGAATATGGGCAGCAGTTACCTTGCCCCAGTCAACTCTGAAACTGTGTGTGAAGCTAGTGGTGTCATAAAATGATGGATCCCCCATCAGCCTGGGATCCTTAACAATTACAAAGAGCAGAGGCCCTTCCTGCCCAATGGTAGGTGTGTAATACAGCAGCAATAAGGTTTTGAGTATTTAAACACCTGAGATTTGGGGATTATTCATTACAACAGCATAATCAACCTTAACCTGGCTAATTCAGGAGCCAAGTAATAAACACAAAAAATTCACTAAATCATGGAAGGCCTTCCTCCTTTTCCC